>NC_000010.11:15161515-15313030 GCF_000001405.40 Homo sapiens
TGGCTAATGTTTTTTTGTATTTTTAGTAGAGATGGGGTTTCACCATGTTGTCCAGGCTGGTCTCGAACTCCTGACCTCAGGTGATCCGCCCACCCCGGCCTCCCAAAGTGCTGGGATTACAGGTGCGAGCCACCACGCCTGGCCGGGAGGATGTGTTTTATAAAGAACGATGGAAACCCATAAAAACAATAAAGCTGTCAGGAAAGTCTAAAATGTTTTTGTTAACAGGAATGTGAAACATGTAATAGTTAAGAAAAAAGTCTCTAGTGACACAAGGGCAAAAATAAAAGAATTACAATTCCAGGTTATTTCAATTAAACCTAGGAAATGAAAAGAAGTCAAAATATCCTACATGATTTTTCTTGTGAGATGGTAGAATATTTTAAATAGTGGTTAATTTTTTGATATGGATAAAGAAATATAGATGAAAACATACTTGTTCAAAATGTACAGATCGCCGGGCACGGTGGCTCACGCCTGTAGTCCCAACACTTTGGGAGACGGAGGTGGGTGAACTGCTTGAGTTCAGGAGTTCGAGACCAGCCTAGACAACATAGTGAGACCCTGTCTCTACAAAAATACAAAAATTAGCCAGGTGTGGTGGCATGTGCCTGTAGTCCTAGCTACTTGAGAGGCTGAGGTGGGAGGATCACTTGAGTCCAGGAGGTCAAGGCTGTAGTGAGCTGAGATTGTGCCACTGCACTCCAGCCCAGATGACAGAGTGAGACCTTGTCTCAAAAAAAAAAAAAAAAAAAAAGTGTACAGATAATCCACAGAAGAAAAAAAGAATGAAAACTAGACATATTCTACCAAAGACAGGAAATAAAATACAGAAATTTTTGAGTACCAAGAAAGCTTATAAACAAAATTCAAAGACTGAATATGATCTGAGCTGTCCAGTATGATAGCCACTAGTCACATGGAGCTATTTAAATTTAAATTAATTCAAATAAAATAAAAACATTCAGCTCAGTCACACTTGTCACATGCAAGTGCTCCATGTGTTGATGACTGCCCAACTGGATTACTATCACCCCAGAAAGTTCCAGCACACAACAATAAGAGTCAGCGAAACATACATGGTAACAAATGCACCCAGGTACAGTAAGATCCCAGCGATGTTAAACACACACACATATTAAAAAGTGAGTTCATTAAACTATCAGTGGTGACAGCTCTGGGAAATAAGGTGACCAGGGGCTTTCACTCTACCTTATATACCTTATTGTTTGATATATATATATATTTTATTTATATATATATTTGATTTATATATCTCTATGTATTTGATATTATATATCTGTATTTGATATTTATATATCTCTATATATTTGATATTTATATATCTATATATTTGATATCTTTTGATATTTATATATGTGATATATATAAATATATACATATAAGAGAGAGATATATATATATGTATATTTTTAGACAGAGTCTCATTCTGTTGCCCAGGCTGGAGTACAGTAGTGCGATCACAGCTCTCTGGGCTGAAGCAATTCTCCCATCTCAGCCTCCCAAGTAGCTGGAACTATACGCATGCACCACCATGTCTAGCTCATTTTTTATTTCATCGAGATAGGGTCTTGCTATGTTCCCCAGGTTGATCTTGAATTCTTGGCCTCAAGCGATCCTCCACCTTGGCTTCCCAAAGCACTGGGATGACAGGCATGAGCCACCACACCTGGCCCTATTGTTTGATTTTTGAATAAGCGTATTTTTAAAACGTCATTAACATGTTTTCAAAGAAAACAACAATCAATTTCTTGAACTTGGAGTAGAACTTGGTTCTGTTAAAATAAAGTGATTTTAACTAGTATAGATGTATAACGTACATTTGCACTAACAAACAAAGATGGCAAAGTATGTGTCCTATATTTAGACAACCCTGGAAAAAATTTGTTCTGGGCCAAAGGGTGACATCACCCATTCAGATGCAAGTCTTAGCAGACACTTGATCATTTCAAACAGTAGTTCTTGATTTGAGGAGGTCCCTCAGGCAAAGACTGTCGTTAATCTATTTTTCCATTTAGATTTATACAGTTGATAACAGATCAAATTTCAGAAAGGGCAGCTTTGAGTTATCCCTAAATTTTCCATAAGAAAAACTTATTGCAAGTCATAATGTTTCTGCATTTTCCCACTGATACCACACAGCTGACAAAGGGGAAGTTCCCAACTCAATTTCAACAACAGACATATGAAGTCAGATACAACAACATAGTGCCCAAAGAAGAACTTCCTTTTTTTACCCCCTAAATTGGGGATGGTAGAAGACAGATTATGTTCTTTGTTAAAAGAATTCCAAAGTTTTCATCTTTGTCCAATACCAGATCTTCAATCTTTCTAAGAAAAAGAACTCTTAAAAACGTCTTAGGCCGGGGACGGTGGCTCACGCCTGTAATCCCAGCACTTTGGGAGGCCGAGGCGGGCGGATCACAAGGTCAGGAGATGGAGACCATCCTGGCTAACATGGTGAAACCCCGTCTCTACTAAAAATACAAAAAAATTAGCCAGGCGTGGTGGCGGGCGCCTACTGTAGTCCCAGCTACTCCGGAAGCTGAGGCAAGAGAATGGCGTGAACCTGGGAGGCAGAGCTTGCAGTGAGCCGAGATCGCGCCACTGCACTTCAGCCTGGGGGACAGAGCGAGAATTGGTCTCAAAAAAAAAAAAAAAAAAAAAAAAGGTCTTAACCCTATTTCATGTCTACCCCAGGGACTAATTTAGTCATGTATCTGCCAACAAAAACATACTCACCTATGTTTATTTTGGTTCCTATATAAATCTTCTTAGTAGCTGCTTCCAGTGAATATTGAGGGAAAAGCTCTCTTAACGGAAAGCTATGAGAAACATCTATTTTTCTAGGAAGTATATGCTCTCTGTAAGTCAATGTTGGTTAAGCAAGGGGACAGATTTGGTTTTGTTACCAAAGTTCAACACGAATTTTATTTGACTCTGTCTCCAACAATGGACCATAACATTAGCTCAGTAAGAGATCATGACCAATACCAAATGTATTTCATAACTGGAGAAGCCGGACATCAAAAGGACAGCGAGAAGACAGTGGGTTCTAAATAATTCTTCAACAATTTGGCCTGTCCTCAATGTCCCCAAAGCCCTTCAGAAGAAAGTAACAGAAGGCAAAAACACAGCAAAATGAGGGAAGTATTAAAGATCCTTGAGCATCTTAACCTCAGATCCAACGGTGAAAGCTCCTAGGAAATTCATCCTCCAGGCCGGGCACCATGGCCTGTAATCCCAGCACTTTGGGAGGCCGAGGCCAGGGGATCACCTGAGGTCAGGAGTTCAAGACCAGCCTGACCAACATGGTAAAACCCCATCTCTACTAAAAATACAAAATTAGCCAGGTATGGTGGCACACGCCTGTAATCCCAGCACTTTGGGATGCAGAGGTGGGGATCACCTCAGGTCAGGAGTTTGAGACCAGCCTAACCAACACGGTAAAATCCTGTCTCTATTAAAAATACAAAATTAGCTGGGCGTGGTGATGCACGCCTGTAATCCCAGCTACTTGGGAGGCTGAGGCAGGAGAATTGCTTGAACCCGGGAGGTGGAGGTTGCAGTGCGCCAAGATCGTACTATTGCACTCCAGCCTGGGTGACAAGAGCAAAACTCCATCTCAAAAAAAAAAAAAAAATCATCCTCCAGGTCACCTTTTTGTACCACTGCCACCCATAGCAGAACAGAAATCTTCAGTAATCTGGACTATTTCTAATAATTCATATAGGAAGCTGGACTGAGGTTAATTTTTATCTATGTAGAAAGTCTTTCCAGGCTCCTTCAAGCTCTTTATAAAGACCTACTCCCTAATTCTAATTGCAAATCGTGTGTTAAAGTAAGTTATATAAAGATGTCTTTAGGCAATCCTCTATTAGCCTGGTTCTAATTGCCAAACATTGTTTGAAAATAATAAAATTATACTTGTCTGAATATAGTCTCACTAATTAAAACTGACAATCCCTTCTTCCCCCATGTTTTTTGTAATTCATGAAAGTTTTATAGTGGTTTGCCACTTCCACGCTTGGGTGGACCAAAAAGTTAAAGAGTACATTTAACTCTTTACACTGGCTTACACCTGTAATCCCAGCACTTTGGGAGGCCGAGGCAAGCATATCACCTAAGGTCAGAAGTTCGAGACCAGCCTGGCAAACATGGTGAAACCCCATCTCTACTAAAAATACAAAAATTAGCTGGGTGTGGTGCCACGCGCCTGTAATCCCAGCTACTTAGGAGGCTGAGACAGGAGAATTGCTTGAATCCAGGAGGCGGAGGTTGCAGTGAGCCGAGATTGCACCACCGCACTCCAGCCTGGGTGACAGAGAAAGACTGTCTCAAAAAAAAAAAAAAAAGGTACATTTTCCATGAAAAACAAGATATAAAGACAGTGAGACTCAAGTATTTTATAATACTTACGCCATTGCTTTTAATTAAACATAAAACATCTGATATTTCATTCATGGACTCTTAGCATTATCTATAAAACGAAATACCCTTTTTAGTCCATGAAGAAAATTCCATGAAAATAAAAGAACAGCATATGCAGTTTTACATATTTAAATACTTACATTTTGGTGCAAAACAAGACTCTAATTGGGTATTTTCCTTTTATTTGAGGCTTTAGTTTCAACTTAATATGTCTAAAAGGACTAGTAAATACATTATACTGAGTGGTGGGGTAAATGAATTCTTTCAGGCCACAAGGGCACTATTCAGTAAATTACCTCTCTGCACTGGCCGCTGCCTGGTGGCCTCAAATTGACAAACTGCCTTTAAGAGGTGAAACATGTTCTTACTGATTCATCCAAAGGCTCATTATTTGTTATTTATTTAAACTGATGGGAATGAAGAGGCCGAGTATAGAAAAAGAGTCTTTCAAATTTTAACATTTACAAACTTGAGCTACTTAAAGAAAACCTAGGTTTCTACTGCGATATCATCAGTACATGAGCCAAATAAAACACATTTACTCCCCCAAATTTGGCACACATTGTCTAAATTCAAATCCAAACAGGCAATCCAAGGAGAGCAGTCATTTGGAGTTTTCCTAATCTCCTTACATTTAAATAGAGTACAATACATCCATTATGTTAATCTTTTCCCACTAGAAGCTATTAACATGGTATCTGCTCTTGGTGAAAACATTTCAGTCCATGGGGCATCTCTAAATTTTGATTAACCTTTCTAATATATAAAATGTGCTGATATACAAAACTGAAAACTTCCGAAGGCAGCACAGATGCCTCTGGGTGCTACTCTGGGAACTTTAGCTTCTTGAAAGGTGTCGGGGGACAGGCTCAGATCAATGCGCACACAGATGAGGAATTCTTTGTACCAGGGGCATTCTCAACAGTGTAAGCAAAGAAGTCCTAATCAAGCCCCCAACCTAGAATATCAATCAAAGGAGGAACAATAAACAGAAATTACAGCAGAGAAGATAAAAGTCCAGGGTCTCTCCAGAAAGAAAACACAGGTACTGAAGCTAATCCATCAGCTTGCATCTGCACCTGGGCCCATTTCTGGCAATAGAACTACCGTTTCAAAAACATATTTGTATTTAGCTATCTATCACAAACACGTTTCTATCCCTGCATAAACAGGGCTCAGGTTCAGATTCCTATGCAATTTCCTTTCCTCTCTTTAAAAAAAAAAATATTCTAGACTCGAACATTCGATACTTGCAGCCGCCACTGAAGTATTCACGGCAAAGATAAAAACAACTTGCAAATGGGAGATGCACATAGTCAGCTTTTCTTTTTCTTCATTTGTTAATATTTTATAATGAATTAGAGGTCAGTCAAAAGTCCCTTTCTATAATAAATCTTAAAGTAGACAAGTAGAATGCAAATGATTTACACTTTCAATGATCAATCATTTCAAGAATCTCTCTACGAACTGAGTAAACCATCTGTGACTCAGGCCTCCCTATCATGTTTTTTAAGCTGACCCACTTCTCCATCACTCACCATGGTTCGAAAAATCTCACTTCTAAGGGTGTAGCAAGAACCGCTCTGTGCCAGCGCATAGTTTGAATCCAATAGGGTAAAAGGGTAATGTAAACAGCACTTTAAAAGGACACCAGTTTTTATTTAAAATGACCCACTGCCTCTAAAAAGAGAGCATCAACACCGGCCTTCACCTGAAGCAATCCTTTTCTCCAACAGAAGAGCAAATCAAGTCTGCAGGGTTCGGGGGCAAAGGGAAAGGATTAAGAAATCCGATCAAGTGTGAAAATGCGTGGTGCATCGAGTTTTGGAGATCAAATACCAGCTTTGCAAACAGGATACGGCCAGGTCAGCGGGAGCCCGGTTCAGGGGATCGGCCCTGCTCTGAAGAGCTCTAGGGACAGGCGAGGCGGTGCAAAGCCCAGTATCCCCAGCAGGGGCCGGGCCCGGGACCCCCTCGGCGCCAGAACTTTGCGCAGTTCGCCGCCTGCGGCCCCGACACCATCGGGGCACCTCCACGCCGCTCCACCCACGTCTTTGCCCATTCTTTTCGGGTGGCGGCTGCGGAGAGGGAGTCTGAAGGGACTTAACAAGGATGGCAGGGAGCAGAGGAGGGCGACCTCCTACCCCAGGCTGCGGCCGCCACAAAGGGAAGGGCGTAGCGCCTCTCCTCGGCGCCCACCGGAGCCACCCGCGGGCGAGGGCAACAGGCGCCTCCTGGGCCAGGCCGCCGGCGGGGATGGGCGAGGCTGGCCGGGGGCGCGCGGCAAGTGACAGTAGCGTCTCCCCGCCCGGGCCCCAGCCTCCCCGCCCACCCCGGGCCTCGCCTCCCCGCGCACTGCACTCTCCCGCGAGCCGCGCGCCCCGGACCTCACCATGGGCTCCGCGCCACGGAGAAGCCATCGCGGGGCGGAGCGGCCGAAGAACCCCCAGTCCTGGGAGCCACCCCCGAACGGGAGACCGTGGCGCGCGCGGTCCCCGCCCTGTCGCGCCCGGTGCGCCAGCGCGCCGCCCCTACCCTTTGGCGTGCTCCGTCTCCTCCTCATTGTCCCCGTCTATCCCGCACGTGTCCTGGTCGTCCAGTTCCAGGCTCTGCTGGCTGGCCGCAGACTCGCTGTCCTCCGCCATCGCGGCGGCGCTGGCTGGGGAGGCGGTGCTCGGGGCCGGGCCGGAGCGGCCGCAGCTCCCTCTAGTGCCTCCCGCCGTACTGCTTGGAGTCGGAGCCCGGGCGCTACGCCCCGCCCCGCCCCGCCCGCGCCCCGTCCCGCCCTCCGTCCCGCCCCCTCCCCGCCCTCCGTCCCGCCCCGCCCTCCATCCCCGCCCCTCACCGTCCGCGCCCAGCCCGCCGGCCCCGCCCTGCCCGCCGGCCCCGCCCTGCCCCACGGGCTTGAACCCCGCCCACCTCTTCGTCCCTCCCCACCAAGCCCCGCCTCTCCCCGTCCCGCCGGCTTCAATCCAGCTCTCTAACCCCGCCCGCCTCTGAGACCCCTCCCCTCCAGCCCCGCCTTTCCCCACCCTGCCGGCTTCAAACCCGCCCTCTAACCCCGCCCACCGCCGCAGCCCCTCCCAGATGGCCCCGCCCCTCCCCGCCCCGCCAGCTCCAACCCTGCTCACCCTGGCCAGCCCTGCACAGGGCCGAGTCCTGTACATCCAGGCCTGCGCGGTGCCTCTGCCTGGGGCTCGGCTCTCAAAGCTGCAAACGTGCAGACTTGACATCCTGAGTGGCGGCATTTTTGGAACACAGGCCATGCGATTTTACTTCTGGACGAATTAGGGAGCGCTCCCAGCCCGTGCAGGGGTTTTTCCCACTCAGGAGTAGGCACTCAGGGATGGGGCTTTCCAGAAACTCTTCCCGCCCCTCCACATACATGTTAACAATTCCATTTCGCATCTATCTATCCATCTAATACATTATAAAATCAAATTCAAAGTCAAAAACAGTATTTCCAGCCCTCCACCGCCCTGTCCCAACCAGGCTTGCAGCACTAAAACTCTTGACAGAAATTTTTGAGCTACCCCTGCTTTCCCTGGACACTACTACGGACGGCTCAGACCAGAACAGACATCTTGAGGGACTTGGGGACGTGTCCACGATGCTGGGGGATTGGACAGTTTCAGGTAGGCTACCCTGGCTTTCCCAAAGTCAAGGTCATGACCTAGATTTCCAAGCAAACGTGCACGGCCTTCTGTGCTGAAATTGTCCGCTGTCTCTCTCAGAAGAGGGAAGGGAGGCATTCTGTAGTACTGCCAAATAGAAGACCGGTGAAGTTCAGCCTCTCTTATTTGCTACTGCATTCTGTACAGAGCAGTCCTGTCCTTTGCTTTGCTGAGATGATCTTGTTCAAATGTGCTGCTAGGCCACCGGAAGTCTCCGCAGTGGTTTTGCAAAGATAATCATCAGAACCCGCTCAGTGAGGAAAATGAGACTTTAAAGAGCCACCTGAATTTTTTGGTGTGGGTCCTTTTTTTGCAGAAGATACTAGGAGCATTTTATGGCTTTTTTCCCCAAGGGAGACTATGTTTTTAAAACGCAATGAGCTAGAAGTATCAAAAGATGAAAACTGCAGAGCGATTTCAAAGCCCGTCAGCTGTTTGGCATTGAGACAACTAAAATTCTGTAAGAAGGGCAAATGGGGTCAAAACACAAAAGGAAATACAATATTGCCTTTAACAACGGCAACTATTTCTGAGGCAAAATGTCACATGTCACCTCTGTGAAACTTTAGGATAGAAGCAAATACAGATGAGTGAGGTTCCTGCAGCTCATCTCTGTGAACATGGATTGTTGGAGAACCCGCAGCCCGCTCGGGTAACCAACAGGAAACTGGCCAGGAGCAAGCCTATCAATCAAATCATCCACTCTAACCTGCCAGAAGGGTTCTCTAAAAGAGTTTTTAAAACTTAAGGCAAAGGAAACTCAGCAGTCATATATTTATCTGAATTTTCAAGAAGTTTTGACTAAGAACTGCTCTAAAAAAGAATAAGAAAACAAATAATCCTGGAAAAATAAAATGAGGGCATCAAAAACCAGTGAAACACTAGAAAACAATGACAAACAGGGAACATCTGTTCCCCAGAATGGAAACAAGTTGGTACAGTACTGGATTGAAGTACATCGGTACAGTACTGGATTGAAGTATTATATAATACAAATGTTTTACAGCATTAATCTTTGGAAGGAAGGAAAAGTTTACAGATGACCCTGGGGCTTCCTAAATCCTACTGTCCCGTATAGAAACACTATGTTTCTAAATATTTTTACTTATTTCCCTGGCTTAATTTCAGAATTTGGAGAATTGGAACCAAGTGGCAACTTCCAGCATCTTAGATCTAAAGTTTATTTGGTGGATGGGAGCACTGTGAAATGGCTGCCAGTGTATTATTTTTTCAAGTTTCAGTTATTTATTAATCAGTGTAATCTCCAATAGATTACATCAACATGATTTCATTCATTTAGAGGAGAACTATTTCCTGGTGAAGTGGAAAATTGTGCGGACGGATTCTGGAAGACCTTCAGTCTAAAGCAGCTTTATAGTGAAACATTTCATTTAGAAATCTGGACCTTCTTTCTTCAGTTTGCTGTGATCCACATTAATTGAGTAGAACTTGAATTGATCATCGGGACCCAGTTTGTTCCAGGGATCTGGGTGATTCTTTCAGTCCCAACTAACATCTGGATTGAAAAATGCCAGACGCAAGAGATACAGTCCTGCTCCAGTACCTCTAGCTCCAATAAATACTAAGAGGGAGATCAAGTTTGGATGCTTCTTGGCCTGACCGATGATCTGGTGGAGCGTGTCTGCGGCAGAGGCCTCCAATTGGAAAGGAGAGAACCAGCCTAGCCACCAGGCCCTGGGCTAAGTAGTATCTTGCCAGTGTATTTTAAAAGGCCTTTGGGAATTTTCTATTCTGCCTGGCCCACTCCTACTACAGATGTAAGATTATAGTTGTACAATTGGTCTTGTTTCATTTAAATTGTTTTAACTTCTTTTTTAATTTTGGAAAAATACATACAACATAAAACGTACTATCCTAACCATTTTTTTTTTTTTGAGACGGAGCTTCACTCTTGTTGCCCAGGCTGGAGTGCAATGGCACAATCTCAGCTCACTGCAACCTCCGCCTCCTGGGTTCAAGCGATTCTCCTGTCTCAGCCCCCCAAGTAGCTGGGATTACAGGCGCCCGCCACCATGCTGGGCTAATTTTTGTATTTTTAGTAGAGACGGGGTTTTGCCATATTGGCCAGGCTGGTCTTAAACTCCTGACCTCAAGTGATTCGCCCGCCTCAGCCTCCCAAAGTGCTGGGATTACAGGCGTGAGCCACTGCGCCCGGCCTGGAGTGCTTTATTATGCAGTAATAACTAACCAACTTACAGAAAAACAAAGACCAAAAGAAATCCTTAGGCCGGGCGCGGTGGCTCACGCCTGTAATCCCAGCACTTTGGGAGGCCGAGGCGGGCGCATAAGGAGGTCAGGAGATTGAGACCATCCTGGCTAACACGGTGAAACCCTGTCTCTACTAAAAACACAAAAAATTAGCCGGGTGTGGTGGCGGGTGCCTGTAGTCCCAGCTACTCAGGAGGCTGAGGCAGAATGGCGTGAACTCAGGAGGTGGAGCTTGCAGTGAGCCGAGATGGCGCCACTGCACCCCAGCCTGGGTGACAGAGCAAGACTCTGTCTCAAAAAAAAAAAAAAAAAAGAAAAAAAGAAAAAAAATCTTAAAGACACTCCTTTTTTTACTATCACGATCACTATCTGTATATCTGGGTATGTCTGAAAAAGACTTATGCCAAACCATTAGTTTGCACTTTCCATTCTGGGTTCACAAAAGCAAAGCCCATTACTTTTGCAATACACTAGCTATTCTTGCTAGCTGGTTTGCTTTAGAGTCTGGCTGGATTTTATTTTATTTTTTAAGTGACTCCGTTTCTTTTTAATTTTTGAGGAACCCGGTAACTACCCTGCACCATTTGCAACTGTGCGTTGGAGAAGCTTTTCTCGTGGTCACTGTGAGGGTAATTTGCACCTCCTATTGCTTGGTATTCTGCTAAAAGGTTTTCATACTTGTTCAAACCAGCAGGTTGGTGCCACAGTGAGTATTGCAGATCAGCTGCATTTCAGAACTTCACAGTTGGTGAGTCTGTGTCTTGTCCCTGTAGGACAAGTTGGGGCTTGCGGGTGATGCCAAGGAAAATTCTAGAGGAAGCCGAACAATGCCACAGCAGATGGAAGTATGTGTTCATTTAGGAGGTGGAAGGTGCCTCCATTCTATAAATAGGGTCACCTTGAAACTGCACTGCTTGCCAAACTCCTTAAATGTGTTCAGGTTTTCCCCACGAGTATATCACTGGATAGTTTATTGCCAAACTTCATTAGTTATTTTATTGATAAGGATGATATATTACAGAAGTACACTGTCTCATCAGACATTTTTACTCGAAGTAGAAATACTAAAGGAGGCAAAAGGATCTGTTCTAGCCTGTCCACAATTAGAGCTTCTGGCCCTTTCAGGAAGAAAGGATGGAGGAGAAAGTAACTGATGAAGAAAGTGAGGGCAGTAGGTAAAGAAGAGGAAAGAGATAGAGGAAAATCAGGAAAGGGAGGAGGAAACAAAGAAGGGGAAGAGGTGAGCGCCAGCTGTATACACACCAAGGGCTGCAGCAGCCTCCAGATGCCATGTCTCCCTGCATCCAGGCTCCATCACTCTTTTCAATAGCGCTGCTTGGAAAATTCTTCCATAGCAATCGGAGCATGTTCATCCCCTGACTTAGAAACAATGTGGCTCCCAGTTGCCTTCTGCATCAAGTCAAATCCCCCTAGGTTGGTGTTCAAGTCCCTTCCACACCATAGCCTCACTGTACCTCTGGTCTTAGCTCTGACCTGAGCCTCTCCAGGCCCTCCATATGCCCCGGGCTCCCTTCCTCGTCTCTGGAGGCACCAGGCCCTTGAATGCCCTTTCCTTACTACCTGCCATCACCAAGGACACAGCTCCCATGTTGCCTCCCCTGCCGAGGGTTTATATGTTTGCCATCATCCCAGCACTAGCCCAGCAGCTCCTGAAGAATCATACGTCATGTGCTTCTCTCTGTATCTCCATCACCCAAACAGTGCCTGTAACAAAGAGGACACTTCATAAGAGCTATAGAACGAATGAATGAATCTATGACACCCCTTTTTTCCCTGTTTGCCAGCCCAATATCTTTCTAAAGCTGTTTTTAAATTTAATTTTATTTTTATTATTTGAGATGGGGTCTCACTCTGTTACCCAGGCTGGAGTGCAGTGGCGCGATCTCAGCTCACTGCAATCTCTGGTCCCAGGTTCAAGCAGTTCTCCCACCTTACCCTCCTGAGTATGTGGGACTACAGGCATGTGCCACCACACCTGGCTAATTTTTGTATTTTTTGGTAGAGACAGGGTTTTACCATGTTGACCAGGCTGGTCTCAAACTCCTGACCTCAAGTGATCTGCCTGCCTCGGCCTCCCAAAGTGCTGGGATTACAGGCATGAGCCATGGAGCCCAGCCTTAGCTGTTTTTTTTTTTTTTTAAATTAAAATTATATCTCTTTTGAGACAGGGTCTTGCTCTGTTGCCCAGGCTAGAGTTTAGTGGCAGAATCACAGCTTACTGCAGCCTCGAACTCCTGGGCCCAAGAAATCTTTCCGCCTCAACCTAAAGTTGCTTTTAGTGGGCACCTAATAATATAGCCCATGGAATGTATGGGCTGTGGTGTGATATTTCCATATATACATACAATGTATAATGATCAAATCAGAGTAATTAGCCAAAAAAATCACCGCAAACATTTGTCCTTTCTTTGCATTGGAAACATTCAAAACCTTCTCTTCTAGCTATTTGAAAATATACAATAAATTGTTAACTATTATCTGCCTATAGTGCTATAGAACACCAGAATTTATTCCCCCTATCCAACTACGATTGTGTATTCATTAACCAGCCTCTCTAGTCCCCCTCCCCACTTCCCTTCCTAGCTCTAGTAACCACTGCTCTACTCTTGACCTTTATGAGATCAATTTTTTTAGCTTCCACATGAGTAAGAACATGAAGAATTTATCCTCCTGTGCCTGCTTTATTTCACTTAACATGATATCCTCCAGGCCATTTTTTTTTTTTTTTTTGAGACAGGGTCTCACTCTGTCACCCAGGCTGGCATGCAGTGGCGTGATCATGGCTCACTGCAGTCTCTACCTCCTGTGCTCGAGCGATCCTTCTGCCTCAGCCTCCTCCGGAGCAGCTGAAACTACAGGCATGCACCACCACATCCAGCTAATTTTAAAAATTATTAATACTTTATAGAGACAGGGTCTATGTTGCTCAGGCTGGTCTGAAACTCCTGGGTTCAAGCAATCCTCCCACCTTGGCTCCCAAAGTGCTAGAATTATAGGTGTGAGCCACTGCACCTGGCTCAGGACCTTTTAATAGTCTAGTTGCAGAAGTATTCAGACACAATTTCTCCTTACCATAGATTTTCATAAAAACTCAAAGTAAAGCGATAGGATGGAGAGATAGTTTTACTTGTTTCTTCTGAAAACAGAGATTTCTTCC
The DNA here is from genome assembly GCF_000001405.40 of Homo sapiens. Taxonomy (NCBI): domain Eukaryota; kingdom Metazoa; phylum Chordata; class Mammalia; order Primates; family Hominidae; genus Homo; species Homo sapiens. Next base: position 15,175,049 of record NC_000010.11, read on the forward strand.
AGGAATTATATGTGAGCACACAGTTGTTCACACTCCTTCAACAACAAAATATGTGGCAGTTAAAGAGAGAAGCAAACCTGACTAAAAAGCAAAAAAAGCCAGGTGCAGTGGCTCATGCCTGTCATCCCAGCACACTGGGAGGCTGAGGCAGGAGGATTGCTTGAACCCAGGTGTTTGAGACCAGCTTGGGCAATGTGGTGAGACCTCACCTCTACAAAAAATAAAAATAAAAAATTTGCTGGGTGTGGTGGTGCATGCCTGTAGTCCCAGCTACTAGGGAGGATGAGGACAGGAGAATCACTTGAACCCGGGAGGCGCAGGTTGCAGTGAGCCGATATCGCGCCACTGCACTGCAGCCTGGGCAACAGAGTGAGACTCCGTCTCCAAAAAAAAAAAAGGCTTTTATCCAAAAGTCAGGCAATAAGAAATGCTGGTGAGGATGTGGAGAAAAGGGAACACTTGTACACTGTTGGTGGAAATGTAAATTAGTATAGCCACTATGGAGAACAGTTTGGAAGTTCCTCAAAAAACTAAAAATAGACCCACTATGCGATCCAGCAATTCCACTGCTGAGTATATACCCCAAAGAAAGGAAATCAGTATATCAAAGAGATAGCGGCACTCCCATGTTTATTGCAACACAATAGCCAAGATTTCGAAGTAAACTAAGTGCCCATCAACCGATGAATGGATAAAGAAAATGTGGTGTATATACATGATGGAGTACTATTCAGCCAGAAAAAAGAATGAGATCCAGTCATTTGCAATAACGTGGATGGAACTAGAGGTCATTATGTTAAGTGAAATATGCCAGGCACAGAAAGACAAACTTCGCATGTTCTCATCTATTTGTGGGATCTAAAAATCAAAACAATTGGACTCATAGAGACAGAGAGTAGAAGGATGGTTACCAGAGACTGGGAAGGGTGGGAGGAGTGGGGGGAAAGAGGGGATGGTTAATGGATACAAAATATAGTCAGAAGGAATAAGACTAGTATTTACTAGCACAACAGGTGACTATAGTCAATAATTTAATTGTACATTTAAAAATACCTAAAAGAGTATAATTCGATTGTAACCTAAAGGATAAATGCTTGAGGAGATGGGTACCCCTTTTAGGCTGATGTGATTATTACACGTTGTATGTCTGTATCAAAATATCTCATGTAACCCATAAATATATGTACCTACTATGTGCCCACAGAAATTAAAAATTAAAGGAAATAAAGAAAATTTTCCTCATAAAATATTAAGGGAAAAATCCAAAAAATGTAAAAAATCAACCACGCAAACCCTAAACTCATTAATGAAAAAATAAACTACTACTTTGCCTGAACTTGATCAATTCAGGTTAACAAATGTTCAGGAGTGCTGAGCTGCAAATCCACACTTCACTAGGTTCAGCTTCCTAAAGGTCAAAGTTCCAGCAGGAAGCTCTCCCTAGAAACCAAGCTTCAGGAATAAAAAGCCAGAAGAAGGGAAACTGTAATTTGGGAAGGGTAGTTCCATCTGATCTACAGCCAAACCAGCCACTCGCAAAATCTAGAACAAGCGGCAGTTCTCTGGTCTCAGGTCACAGCAAAAAATCCTTGCAAAATTGGAACTATTTGCTAAACTTGGCATTGCTCTCACTGAAAGGTAAGTGAAACAAACAAAAAAAAGGTGATTTTTATATCTAGTTTTTCCATTTTTAACAATAATAACTACTGTTTAATAAAGTCCCCTGGTATATTAGACATCTGTTTTACACATATTATTTTAAAAATTCTCCCTCTTAATATATATTATTTAATTATTATTATTATTATTATTTTTGAGACAGAGTCTCACTCTGTAGCTCAGGCTGGAGTGCAGTGGCAGGATTTCGACTCACTGCAACCTCTCCCTCCCAGCTTCAAGCGATTCTCCTGCCTCAGCCTCCCAAGCAGCTGAATCACAGGCGCACACCACTACGCCCAGCTAATTTTTGTATTTTTAGTGGAGACAGGGTTTCGCCATGTTGGCCAGGTTGGTCTCGAATTCCTAACCTCAAATGATCTGCCCGCCTCAGCTTCCCAAAATATTGGGATTACAGGTGTGGGCCACCGTGCCTGGCCTTGTTTATTATTTTAATTAATTTTTTTTTAAGACAGCGTCTCACTTGCTGCACAGTCTAGAGCATAGTGGCATGATTACGGCCCACTGCAGCCTTGACCTCCCAGGCTCAAGTGATCCTCCCACCTCAACTCCCCAGTAGCTGGGACTACAGGCATGCACCACCATGCCTGGCTAATTTTTTTATTTTTAATTTTTTGTAAATGGGGGTCTTACTACGTTGCCCAGGCTGGTCTCAAACTCCTGGGCTCAAGCAATCCTCCCATCTTGGTCTCCCAAAGTGTTGGGATTACAGGCATGAGCCACCACACCTGGCATCTTAATAGATTTTAAAGTGCATACACATTACAGTGTTATTAACTATAAGCACAGTCTTGTACAGCAGGTCTTTAGCACTTACTCATCTTGCATAACAGAAACCTTAAACCTTGATTTTTCATCCCTAAATGGTCTGAAAAGTTTACTCTTCTCATTTTTCAAGGCGAAAACAGCGCGAGAGAGGTTAAATAATTTATCCAAACTTACTAAACAAATGCCTTAAACAAAATAGAAACCCAGGTCTGTGTATCCCTAAAGCCTACAGGCTTCTCTTATTTTGCTCAGTACTTTTTTTTTTTTTTTTGAGATAGGTTCTTGCTCTGTTGCCCAGGCTGGAGTGCAGTGGTGTAATAATAGCTCACTGTAACCTTGAACTCCTGGGCTTAAGCCATCCTCCCACCTTAGCCTTCCCAGTAGCTAGGACTACAGGTAAGCAGCTAATTAAACAAAAAAATTTCTTTGTAGGCATGGGGTCTCGCTGTGTTGCCCAGGCTGGTCAAAGACTCCTGGCCTCAAGCAATCCTCCAGCCTTGGCCTCCCAAAGTGCTGGGGTTATAGGCATGAGCCACTGCATTCGGCCTTGCTCACTACTGTCTAAAGTGTTCTAAGAAAATGTTCTTTTTGAGGCCAGGTGCGGTGGCTCACACCTGTAATCCCAGCACTTTGGGAGGCTGAGGCAGGTGGATCACGAGGTGAGGAGTTCAAGACCAGCCTGGCCAAGATGGTAAAACCCCATCTCTACCAAAAATTCAAAAATTAGCAGCTGTGGTCGTGCACGCCTGTAATCCCAGCTACTCGGGAGGCTAAGGCAGAAGAATTGCTTGAACCAAGGAGGCGGAGGTTGCAGTGAGCCGAGATCGCGCCACTGCACTCCAGACTGGGAGACAGAGTGAGACTCTGTCTCAAAAAAAAAAAAATTTTTTTTTTAAAAAAAGAAAGAAAATATTCTTTTTGATGTTATTAAGAACTCCTTGCCAATAAGATTATTATTTTGTACAGTATATATAATTATTATATTATAGCTGGGCGCAGTGGCTCACACCTGTAATCCCAGCACTTTGGGAGGCTGAGGCAGGTGGATCACCTGAGCTTAGGAGTTCGAGGCTAGCCTGGCCAACATGGCAAAACCCCATCTCTACTAAAAATACAAAAAGTAGCTGGGCATGGCAGTACGCGTCCATAATCCCAGCTACTTGGGAGGCTGAGGCAGAAGAATTGCTTGAACCTGGGAGATAGAGGTTACAGTGAGCCGAGATCATGCCATTGTGCTCCAGCCTGGGTGACAAGAGCAAAACTCCATCTCAAAAAAAAATTATATATAAATTATATATTACATTATTGTATGTTACATATATTCTGTAACAATACGATAAATAATTTCATATTATTACTTTAATAATTAAATTGTATATAATTATGCTGTTAAGCTTGCGGGGAGTTACGCCCCTTTCCTAAGATAAAAACAGACACATCTTTGGGGAGTCAGATCCAGACCCTGGGATCCTGACTGCCAGCACCTCGCTGTCTCCACCAGCCCCACGTCCTGTCTGCAGCCCCCACGTTTGTTATCTGGGGCCTGTGGATCTACGGGAGTGGCATTGGCTAACAAAGGCAGTGACAGAAAAAGTGTCCCCCAAGTCCAGTGGCTCTTAATCTTGAATACACAGTGAATTTCATAGTGTTTAGTCTGACTATCTGGAGAAGTTCAAATATACTGAGTTGTCACAGTCCCTTTGAGTGACTTGAGTTTTAAAAGGGGGAAAAAAACAGAAAGAAAAATAAAAGATAGACACAAATTTCCCTCACAGATACTGCTGCTGCTGGTTTGGAGAAGAAGTGCTTCTGGAGAACCGGAACCTGGTCAGCGGATGAGGACACACGACACTGTGAATGAGCAGTTATGGAGTCAGGGCAATGCCCTGGGGGTCTTGGAGGATGTCAGAGATCCCACGTTGACTAATTCTGGACACATATTCTGTTCAAAGAGGGCCTTTCAGCTGGGCACAGTGGCTCACGCCTGTAATCCCAGCACTTTGGGAAGCCGAGGTGGGCAGATCACCTGAGGTCAGGAGTTCGAGAGCAGCCTCGCCAACATGGTGAAACCCCGTCTCTACTGAAAATACAAAAATTAGCCAGGTGTGGTGGCAGGTGCCTGTAATCCCAGCTACTTGGGAGGCTGAGGCAGGAGAATCGCTTGAACCTGGGAGGCGGAGGTTGCAGTGAGCAGAGATCACACCACTGCACTCCAGCCTCGGTGAGAGAGACTCTCTCTCAACTGAAAAAAAAAAAAAAAAAAAAAAGAGGGCCTTTCTCTGGGTGGACAACAGTGTTGTGTAGGATGAGAGTGTTGTGTAGAGACAACCCTCTGCTGCTTGCCGGTGTGTCAGCAACACCTCTGCTGCTAAGTAGCATCACTGGAGGTAAGATTAGGAGGCTTGGCCGGGCGCAGTGGCTCTTGCCTGTAATCCCAGCACTTTGGGAGGCCGAGGCAGGAGGATCACAAGGTCAGGAAATCGAGACCATCCTGGCTAACACGGTGAAACCCCGTCTCTACTAAAAAAATACAAAAAATTAGCCGGGCGTGGTGGCGTGCATCTGTAGTCCCAGCTATTTGGGAGGCTGAGGCAGGAAGATGGCGCGAACCCAGGAGGCAGAGCTTGCAGTGAGCCGAGATCGCACCACTGCACTCCAGCCTGGGTGACAGAGCAAGACTCTGTGTCAAAAAAAAAAAAAAAAAAAAAGATTAGGAGGCTCAGTTTCACCATAGTTAACAGCACGGCACGAGCTCACTTCTACGAGCCCAACTGCACAAACCTTCACCTCCTGCCTCCGTCTCATCCTGGCCACGAGACAATTCAAAGCAATTTTCTTTTCTTTTTTTTTTTTTGAGATGTAGTCTCGTTCTGTCCCCCAGACTAGAGTGCAGTGGCATGATCTCGGCTCACTACAGCCTCTGCCTCCCGGGTTCAAGTGATTCTTCTGTCTCAGCCTCCCCAGCAGCCGGGATTACAGGCGCCCACCACCATGTCAGCTTTTGTATTTTTAGTAGAGATGGGGTTTCATCTTATTGGCCAGCCTGTTCTTGAACTCGTGACCTCAAGTGATCCGCCTACCTCAGCCTCCCAAAGTGCTGGGATTACAGGTGTGAGCCACCGGGCCTGGCCCCCATGAGGCAATTCGAGATAAAGTACAATAGCCGGCAATGGATTCTGAAAATAATTCTTCTCTTCCCTCCCTTTCCCTTTCCTTGTCTTCTCTCTTCCATCCTCCCTCCTTCCTCCACCCTGTCGCCAGAAAAGCTTGGTATTTGACACTTTTAAATGTCTAGAATGGTGCATTCATCTGGCCTTTTGACCGAGTGAGTTGGTCTTTCCAACCAGAGCTCTAGGTTGAGGAATGTCTAGCTGGGCTTGGGGAGAATGTCGGGAAATGGATGTGCTCCTGCAGTGTTCTGGAAGTGCAAACTGGTGCAACCTTCCTGGAAAACAATTTAGCAACGTCTATGAGTAAGTCACCCTTTGGCCATACTCTCAAAGGCTCACAAAGATAGACGTGCAAGGACACTCATTACAACATTGTTTAACAGAATGTCAATGGGACATTTCATGTTGTCTCCAAAATGAGGCTGCAGCCCTAAAGCTGAGAATAAGAGGTGCTAAATCCCCATATTTAAAGGACCACCTATGAGCTGGCAGGAGCAGTTCATTGACCAATAGTCCCCTCTCCTTCTCCCCATCTTACAATAATAGAAGTCCAGGCATTAGAAAATCACTCAGGTTCAAGGTGAGAGCTACTCCTTTCCTTCCCTTGAAGCCACATGTGTGGAGCTTCAAGAGAACCTTAGAGACTCAAGATGCTGGCGAGAAGGGAAAGGACTGACATCTTAGTCCTGATCTAGACACTTGCTAAGATGCAGAAACTCATGGGTCCACACGAGCTCCCATGTTGTTGCAGAACTCAGTGAAAGAGTTCCTGAGAAAGCCAGATCTATTTCTTCAGAAGCCTGGGAATAGATGAGCAAATAGAGACTGGTCCTTGCTTCTTGCCTGGGTAATTTTGGAATGAAAGGCTTGCTGGAGCAATCAGAGTTGTGTGAGTGTCCCAAGAGGCAAGCAGAGACCAGGAAAGGTGGCTGAGCTTGAGTTGTCTTGCTGGTATCCTCCTCAAGAAGGCAGGAGGAAGTCCAGTAGGAAGAAGTGTAGAGTCTATGACCAGGTGTAGGGACTTGCAGAAAAGATTACAAGTCAGAGCACATCATTCAGCCAGGGAACTTTTGGGCCATCCAAAGACTTGTGCAAAAGCTCCATCAGAGAACCAATATTTGGATGCCTGCCATACAGCAAGGCATGGATAACAGCGAAGATTACATCTGCACTGACTCAGTAAAACAAGTTATACTGGTCAGGTGCAGTGGCTCATGCCTATAATCCTAGCACTTCGGGAGGCTAGGAGTTCAAGACCAGCCAGGGCAACATAGCAAGACATTGTCTCTACAAAAAATAAAAAAAATAAAAAAAATTAGTGGGTATGGTGGCATGTGCCTGTAGTTCCAGCTACTTGGGAGGCTAAGGCAGAAGGATCTCTTGAGGCCAGGAGTTGAAGGCTGCAGTGAACCATGATCATGCCACTGCACTCCAGCCTGGGGGATGAGGGGTGACAGAGCAAGGCTCTGTCTCTAAATAAAAAAAAAAGTGGCTGGGTATGGCAGCTCATGCCTGTAATCCCAGCACTTTAGGAGGCTGAGGTAGGTGGATTGTTCGCGCCCAGGAGTTCAAGACCAGCCTGGGCAACATGGCAAAACTCTGGCTCTACAAAAAAAAATTAAGATATTAGTTGGGCATGGTGGCATGCAGCTATAGTTTCAGCTACTCAGGAGGCTGAGGCAGGAGGATTGCTTCAACCCAGGAGGTTAAGGCTGCAGTGAGCCATGTGTCACTACACTCCAGCCTAGATGAAAGAGTCAGAGCTTGTTTAAAAAAAAAAAAAGAGAGAGAGAGAGACAAAACAGTTATATCATTTTCATGAATCCCTCTTCCCTAACCATCTTGACTCTGGAGGAACCAGAAGCCCTAGAGTATGGGGAGGTCCCATAAGCCATTGGAAACTCCAGAACTGAAGGTGGGTGTGGGCTTGGCACTGGGTGGCAGATTGAAGATTTATGACTGGAGTGAATTTTTAGTACCGGCTATGGTAGATGTGTAAAATTACTACACTCTTGCATCACACCAAGCATGAAAGAGTTTACATTCCAGAGAAAAAGGTTTATCGCTGTCTCTTGGTTTTTCAGACTATTGAAGGCCAAGTGTTCAGATGGTCTTGTTTTGTGGGACAGATAGGACTTCACACCATTGCTGGTGCAAGTTTTCTGGAGGAAGTGGGCTGTGAGATGAATTCTGAATTAAAGGAAGAATTCTTGGATCTTGGATAGAGTCGCAGGCGCCTCTGATGACAACTTGCAGGAGAAAGAAGGAAACCAAATGTCTTTTTGCATAATTGGCAGGGAAAGGATCCCTAAATGGAACTGGGAGGTGATATAATCAGGGCTAATTTGATAAAGAGTCTCGAAATCAAATGTGACTACATTGACTCTACCGTGGAAGCATCCATTGATTATGTTGTCAAAGATGCAGGTGAGAGCAATGGATTTTAATGACAGTGTTTTGAACCATTCGTAAGGAAGGGAGTACGAAGGGAATACTGCCAGTTAATGTGTTTTATTTCAGATGAGAAATAAATCCAGATTATCCTGGGGACTTTCCAGTGGAGGAAAAAAACTAAATCAAAACCAAACCGAAAATCAAGAGTGTAGCTGAGCCAGTTGCAGGAAGAAATGGCAAATTATTCCAAGGGTTCTATCTGAGGGAGGGAAACAATGGATAATCAGTCTATCAAGGGAAAATGTGTTAGAGGCTTCAATGTAGTTATTTAGCTTTCTTTGAAATACAATGAAGCATGATTGCATTTTAAATTAATTCCTAGCCTGCCAGCCTTTGAATTTTTCATGTTTACTTTTACTTTGCATGCCGACTTGATTTTCTTTCTTTTTACAAATCGCCAACAAAATTCAAGAGGATAATGTTCCAGATAAGCAATGTTTATTTGGTTAGCAAGTATTTATTGCACATTTACCCTGTAGTTGATGGGGAGGAAGGAGCCAAGGTGCGTTTATTACCTATTAAGTATTGAAATAGAGACTTTCTTATACATTATTTCATATTAATCTGTACAACACCTCTGTGATGTAAGTACTATCATTTTCATTTTTCATTTTAGGAATCTGAGCCTCGAAGAGGTTATGTGACTTATCCCAAAAAGTGTCTGTATCAGTCTGTTCTCACACTGTTAATAAAGACATACCCGAGACTGCATAATTTATAAAGGAAAAAGGTTTAATGAACTCACATCCACATGGCTGGGGAGGCCTCACGTTCATGGCTGAAGGCGAATGAGGAGCAAAGTCACGTCTTACATGAAGGCAGGCAAGAGAGCTTGGGCAGGGGAACTCCCCTTTATAAAAGCATCAGATCTCGTGAGAGTTATTCACTACCATGAGAACAGTATGGGGAAACCGCCCCCTATGATTCAATTATCTCCACCTGGCCCTGCCCTTGACACATGGGGATTATTACACTTCAAGGTGAGATTTGGTTGGGGACATAGCCAAACCATATCAGTGTCTTAGCAAATTATTATAGCGCTTGCAGTACCACGCTATAGTTAACTGTTTACTTCGTAGGGCAGACGTTTGCCTACACAATGTTCCATCATCTCCCTTGTCATTAGAATCCACTTACCCCTGTAGACATTGTATACACCAGCTTCTCACTCCACCAGCTTCTCTTGCAGCTAGAGGTGGGACTGTGGCTCTCTTTTGTCAAAGAGACATCAACACATCTCCTGAGGGTGGGGGTAGGGGAGCATCAAGGAAATCTTTGGATTTGATGTATTCATTGAACTGCTGCAACTACTGTCCAGCCACTTGGCAGATGGAAAAATATCCTCTGTGGGGTCACAGAGCCACTGAGTTCTAGGACCAACCACCTGCAGGCTTCTTGCTATGGAAAATGAGCTCACAGCAATAGAGACGGCTTGTATGTGGCTATTCTCTTGCGAGCAGCTGAGTACATTCTGCCCAATACAGGCAGGGCAGGCTTGCCCCAGTGTGCCTGGATTCTCACCACCCCCTTGCAGGAAAAGGTCTCTGCCCACAGGTCACTACCTGGGAGCCAGGACAGCCAGCTTGCAGGCTGGCAGGACCATCCAATGGCCCTGTACGACAGCAGCCCTTCAAAGAGGGTCTGAAGACCAAATTAGATTCTCGCTTTGGGGAATTTGAACTGGAGATACAGGGAGATGTTTCTCATGTAGGGGAGGAGGAAGAAATAGTAAACAAACAAAAGAGATAAAACCACAGAGGTTTAGAGGAAAGCTGAGTTATCTCTTGGCAGAGCAGGCGCTCCAGTGAATATCCATCCATAAACTCCCAACGCCCAGGGAGGACGGGACAACCAGAGGTGACCACGGTGTGTGCCAGTTGTCCTTGTTCAAAGCCTCTGCTCCTCCCTCAGCTAGATTTTGCTGTTTAATGCTCCTCTGTTGTCAATTTTATTTTTAGTTTCTGGGGCAAACTGGCTGAGGAGGGAGCAGGCTAAGCAGGCCCATGCTGAGAGCATTGCAGGATGTGTCAGGTCTGCCGTTGGCTCCTTGAGCTTTGAAGAGCTTAGGAAAGTGAGCCTTGCTTTCAGGGGCTCCATGAGGGCCTTGAATCCTAGAAACACCATGAGATCTGATTGATGCTGGGGCTGGTGCACCCTCAGGCCAGGGTCTCGGGGACCACAGAGCAGCCCAGGCTGGCCTCTCCATGGCTGGGACCATATCGTCTCCCTGTCAAATCCCTTCAGTAGACCCACACAGGCTTCAGTAGTTTCAGACTTCCCAGTCACTTGTCACCCTAGTCTCCCATCGACCTGTTCACTAGTTGTTACCCATGTTCTGGACACAGAGTGGCCATCCTGTCCCTCGACTCCCCCTGTGAGGCCTGGCAGTAAGGCCAGGTTCCTGAGGGCCTGCTTGCTTCATGGTCACAACAGCTGCAGAGGAAGACCTACCAACCCGATGTGAGCTGAGACACGTCCTGCAAACAAAACAGCCTGCCCCACCCAACTCGCCTGTTCCTACTTCTAAGCTCTGATCTTCATGTGTCTCAGTCAGCTTAGACTGCCATGATGAGGTACCACAGATAGGGAGCTTAAACAATAGACATTTATATCTCACATTCTGTAGGCAGGGATTCAGTTTCTGATGAGGGCTCTCTTCCTGACTTGCAGACTGCCACCTTCTCGCTATGGCCTTGCAAGACCTTTCCTTTGTATGTGTTCTTGGAGAGAAATAATTAGCTTTGGTGTCTTTTGTCTTTCTTTCTTTGTCTTTCTTTGTTTCTTTCTTTTTTTTTTTCTTTCTTTCTTTCTTTTTCTTTCTTCTTTCTTTCTTCTTTCTCTTTCTCTCTTTCTTTTTCTTTCTCTTTCTCTTTCTTCTTTCTTTCTCTCTCTTTCTTTTTTTTTTTTTGACAGAGTCTTGCTCTGTCACCCAGGGTGGAGTGCAGTGGCACCATCTCAGCTCACTGCAAGCTCCACCTCCCGGGTTCACGCCATTCTCCCACCTTAGCCTCCCGAGTAGCTGGGACTACAGGCATGCACCACCACGCTTGGCTAATTTTGTTTTTGTATTTTTAGTAAAGACGGGGTTTCACTGTGTTAGCCAGGATGGTCTCGATCTCCTGACGTTGTGATCTGCCCTCCTTGGCCTCCCAAAGTGCTGGGATTACAGGCATGAGCCACCATGCCCAGCCAGTTTCTTTCTTTCTTAAAAAGTTTTTGTAGAGATGGGGTCTTACTATATTGCCCAGGCTGGTCTCAAACTCCTGGGTTTGAACAATCCTCCTGCCTCAGTTTCTCAAAGTGCTGGGATTATAGGTGAGAGCCACTGCACCTGGCCTGTCTTTTCTTCTTTTCTTTTTCTTTTTGTTTTCTTTCTGGCATCTCTTCTTATAAGAACACTAATCCTTTTGGTTCAGGGCCGCACCCCGATGACACATGTAACCTCCACTACCCACTTAGAGGCCCTATCTGCCAATGCAGCCACACTGGAGGTTATGGCTTCAACATATGAACTTGGGGAAACACAATAAAGTCTGCAGCACCTTGAAAGCAGTAGTCACACCTGATTCAGCTTTTCATTCCCTCATCAGAGCACAGTTTCGACATACCATAGTGTCCAATAAATGTGAATTCAGGGGAATCTTGAATGAAATGGCAGAGCTGGTATTTTAACCCAGGTCTTCGAATCAACAAATGAAGTGCTGGATGTCATAGCTGGGCACCTACAGGGAATTAAAGAAAGAATACACCATGGTTTGCCCACTGGGAGGATAACCTTGTTCCAGTGGCAGGACATACAATTGATACAAATTATATCACACCATGTGGAGTGGGCTGGTGAGGAGGTGAGGAAGGGGGTCCAGAAAGGATGGGAAGTGAGCTAGCCCTAAGAGGCTGGTTTGCTTTGGGGTTCCAGGAGTAGCAAGGAGAGGCAGGAAGGGCAACTCCAGCCAGAAAACCCAGGATCTGAGATTGAGGTCTGAGTTTCAGCATGGTGGTCTAGGATGGGATGAAAGTTCAAGAAAAATTGGGGCTTTGACAGAGCTTTGGAAGGTCTGAACCAAAAGATGGCATTGAAAATAACCTTGCAGGGTGGGTGCGGTGGCTTATGCCTGTAAACCCAGCACATTGGGAGGCCGAGGTGGGCGGATCACGAGGTCAGGAGATTGAGACCATCCTGGCTAACAGAGTGAAACCCCGTCTCTACTAAAAATACAAAAAAATTAGCCGGGGGTGATGGCGGGCGCCTGTAGTCACAGCTACTCCGGAGGCTGAGGCAGGAGAATGGCGTGAACCTGGGAGGTGGAGCTTGCGGTGAGCAGAGATCGCACCACTGCACTCCAGCCTGGGTGACAGAGTTAGAGTCCGTCTCAAAAAAAAACAAAAACAAAAACAAAAAAAAGAAAATAACCTTGCCAACCTGTAACATATAACATCAATCAAACAATAGTTCTGATCTTTTAACCAACCATTTAAAAGTTAATAGAGACTGGGCATGGTGGCTCATGCCTGTCATCCCAGTGCTTTGGGAGGCTGAGGTGGGAGGGTCACTTGAGCTCAGGGTTTGAGACCAGCCTGGGCAACATAGTAAGACCTTGTCTCTACAAAAATAAAACTTAAAAAAATTAGCCAGGACCCGGCGCTGTGGCTCACACCTGTAACCCCAACACTCTCGGAGTCCGAGGCAGGTGGATCACTTGAGGTCAGGAGTTCGAGACCAGACTGGCTAACATGATGAAACCCCGTCTCTACTAAAAATACAAAAAAATTAGCCTGGTGTGGTGGCTCATGCCTGTAATTTTAGCTACTCAGGAGGTTGAGGCAGCAGAATCACTTGAACCCGGGAGGCTGAGGTTGCTGTGAGCCAAGATCATGCCACTGCACTCCAGCCTGGGCAACAGAGCGAGACTCCTCAAAAAAAAAAAAAATTAGCCAGGCTTGATGGCACTTGCCTGTCATCTCAGCTACTTGGAAGGCTGAGGCAGGAGGATTACTTGAGCCCAGGAGTTAGAGGCTGCAGTGAGCTATGATCATACCACTATACTCCAGCCTGGGTGACAGAGTGAGACTCTGTCTCTAAAAAAAGAAAAAGAGTTAATAAAAAATGTAATCCTTCCTCAGTAAAAAGATTGTTTTAAGGCTATGATAATTAATGAACAACTTAGGAAATATTTTTGTTTTTTTAACCATATGGATTATGGATGCGGTTGTGCAGAAATACTGCCATTTCAAAATTAAAATTGCTTCCAATATTCATGATGAAATTGTAAGTGAATTCTTCATACAACTAAGTATATCTTTTCCTATTTTCTCAATGAGTATACTGGATTGTTTAACATCTACAATTATGCTTCATGTTTCAACTTGCACTTAGTTTTTCCATAATTATTTATTGTTTGGAACAAGCAAACTCGGAGAAGTTTAAAGTTTGCTTTTTAAAGATCAAACACGACTCCAGGATTTTCACATATATTTCAGGAGAAAACTCTTAGAATACTGTATTTTTCAAAAACAAGTAACATGAAAGATAGCGTGTTTGACTGTGTGCAACTCCTTAGCAAAACTGTGGGAAACCACACCCGCTCTTGAGAAAATATTCAGAGTGTGCAAAAATGAACTGCTCTTTAAATGTTAAGAAATGCAAAACTTAAAGGCCACTATCCTCCCATCCTCCACTGTCTACAATGTGTCACCATATCCGCCCCTCCAGCATCGCCGCCATGGGTCTGCCCATGAAGATGGTGGTGTTGGAAAACTACCTCTGAGACATTTAGAGTTTGTAATGGAAATTTTAGTAAGCCAGTAGCTTAGGCAGCATGGGCATTTTAGAAAGCCATTCTCCAGCTCCTCCTCCTGAGTGTGTGTGTAGTCTCTGACTTCCTGAAATGATATGACAGGAGGCCACTTTTTAACTTGTACCTTAAGATAATCCTTTTGATGATGTTACACAACTTTCCAAATTTTGTTGATTGGTTGGTACCGTCATTCTTTTATTTATTCTTTCAACATTGGAGTGCATATCATCACCCCAACTTCGGTTTTTTACATTTTAATTTGTATTGTTTTTAATTTATTTTGAGGCAATGTCTCACTATGTTGCCCAGGCTGGAGTACAGGGACATGATCATAGCTCACTGCAGCCTCAGCCTCCTGGGCTGAAGCAATCCTCTCACCTCAGCCTCCCAAGTAGCTAGGACCACAGGTGCGCACCACCACACCTGGCTAATTTTTTTAGTTTTTGTAGAGATGGGGTCTCACTATGTTGCCCAGGCTTGTCTTGAACTCCTGGGCTCAAGCAATCCTCCCACTCCTGGGCTCACTTCAACCTCCCAAAGTGCTGGGCGAGGGAGTCGCTGGGCAAAGGAGGCACTGGGCTCAGCCATCACCCCAACTTTTGGCATATATAGGGGATAGGAAAGCAGCTACTAGGACTCTAATAGTCAAACTAAAACTCCCCTCAGACTTGAGTTTAGCAAGCGATTTTGGATCGAATGCTTTGCACGCTCATTTTTCATCAGATGCTTTCTTGCTTCCACACTTCCCCCTCATTCAAATCAGCATAGGGTGGCCCGGCTAGCCTTCTGCACTTCCTCTTTCTCTCCATTTGGGTAATGTTAAAATAAATGATGTGTGTATGGCTTTACCTTTCGGAGATTTTTTGGGAACAAAACCTCTCTGGAGGGCAAAGGCAGCATAAGATAAAGTGAAGGCCGGCTGACTGCAGTTGAAACTCCAGCTTTTGCCTGGTTTGCCTGTGCGTTCTTCCATGAGGTTCAGAGCCTCTGATTTCTCCAGCTCTTCGAAGAGAAAGAGCATGATACTTACAAGTCCTTTTGCCTAATGGAAGAGAAAGAGATTGAGCATGCTTGAGTTTCATAGGAAGCTAAATGTTCAGGGTTTTCAAGGAAGCTAAAATTCTAGTTCCACTTTCCAATTACTGGAATTTTATTTTTATTTTTATTTTATTTTTTCAGAGTCTTGCTCTGTCGCCCAGGCTGGAGTACAGTGGTATGATCTCAGCTCACTGCAACCTCTGCCTCCCGGGTTCAACCAATTCCCCTAGCTGGGATTACAGGTACCTGCCACCACGTCTGGCTAATTTTTGTATTTTTAGTAGAGACGGGGTTTTGCCATGTTGGTCAAGCTGGCCTGGAACTCCTGACCTCCAGTGATCCACCAGCTTCAGCCTCCCAAAGTGCTCGGATTACAGGCATGAGCCACCATGCCTGGCCAAAAATTTCTTAATTTTTGGATGAGTAAAGGAGAGAATACTGAGCTGATGAGTGTGGATAAAAAATGCTGGCTTGGAATGACCACCCGCAGGTCAGCCTGCCTTGTTGTTTTACATCCTGCCCGGGCATTCACACTTCCTAAATGGGCCCTAGCTCTGACTTGCCACCTTGAATTTGGACCATTAAGTCAGGGCCATTTCATTCCTGGCTCTGCACTGCTTGCTCTTCAGTTTATTCCTGTGTGACATCTTGTGTTTGGCTTTGATTCTGTATTTCACAACCTGACAATGGTTCCTTTCTCCTGAACTTCTAGCCTAGAATTTTCCCTTGCTCTTCCAGATTCTCAGCCTTGGTTTCAGACAGACCGTCTGAACTAAAAAAAACAAAAATTAGCCAGGCATGGTGGCACATGCCTGTAATCCCAGCTACTTGGGAGGCTGAGGCAGGAGAATCGCTTGAACCTGGGAGGCAGAGGCTGCAGTGAGCCAAGATCGTGCCATTGCACTCTAGCCTGGGCAACAAAAGCAAAACTCCGTCTCAAAAAAAAAAAAAAAAAAAAGCTGGAGCGGTTCTAACCTTCTCCTCTCTCTCAGTCCCATGGTGCCCACTGTGGCCAGGAATCTTTGGCCTGGAATTTCCTGCTCCCAGCCCACCATGCTTAATGGGTGGTTTGGACGTGGAGGCTGGAGAATATTTTAGTATCTCCCTGGAGTTGGTTACTTCAGAACAGGCCTCTGTGCTCCCAGGGCAGGGATCTAGCATTGCAGCTGCCATGGGGACTTCTGTTTTTCGCTACTGTTGTTGTCTGGCAGTGGCTACACTTAGGATGCTCGCAGGCAGACAGCTCCTGCCCCAAGATGAGGTTCTGCCATTTCATGGACAGGACCACTCCTGCCTACGTCTCCCCTTCTGACTCACAGCAGTGGCCTCCTCGCTGGTCTCGTTTCTCTCAATGCTCATGGTCACTTTGCTTCATGGATCTTGTAGCCCTTTATTGCTATGTGGTTGTTTTGTTTTGTGGGGTTTTTTTTTTTTTTCATAGCTAACAGGCCCCATCCATAGGTTTCACTCACTTTATTTTTATTTATTTATTTTGAGACAAGGTCTTGCTCTGTTACTCAGGCTGGAGTGCAGTGGTGCCATCAAAGTTCACTGCAGCCTTGAACGCCTGAGCTTAAGTGATCCTCCTGCTTCAGCCTCCTGAGTAGCTAGGAGTACAGGTGCATGCCACCATGCCCAGCTAATTAAAAAAAAAAAAAGTATTCCATTTTCCCCAGGCTGGTCTCAAACTCCTGGGCTGAAGCCATCCTTCTGCCTATGCCTTCTAGTGTGCTGGGATTACATGCATGAGACACTGCACCCAGCCCGTTTCCCTAACTTTAAATACTGCAGAGAAAGACTGGGGTATGGGTCTCCATTCTTTCAATGGGCCAGAACCTTAAGTAGATTACACCTTTCCCTGGGAAGACAATTTTGTCAAGCCAAAGATAATAGGTCATAGTAGACCTTTCTCTTAGGACAGTAGATGCTACATGACTTACATTTTTGCAACTTAAATGGTTCTTCCAAGAATTGAAGAACTCTAGGTCTAAATTAGATCTCCACCTGTAGTCATTACAGTAAGTAGGAAATGTACGTAAGTTTGGGTTCTGCTCCATCAATCACATCTATACATCCACAGAATGCGTTTCCCTCTACTGATTACCAGAGACAGAGATCTGAGTCTCATCCCAGCATTTGTGAGCTCTATATTCCTAAGTCTTATTTTCAAATCCTCAATCTCTCTCTCTCTCTTTTTTTCTTTTTTGAGATAGCCTTTCACTCGTTGCCCATGTTGGAATACAGTGGTGCAATCATGGCTCACTGCAGCCTCAACCTCCTGGGTTCAAGCCATCCTCCCACCTCAGCCTCCCAGTAACTGGGACCACAGAGGCATGCCACCATGTCCAGCTAATTTAAAAATTTTGTTGTAGAGATGGGGGTCTCACTATGTTGCCCAGGCTGGTCTTGAAATCCTGGGCTCAAGTAATTCTCCTGCCTTGGTCATAGTGCTGGGATTACAGGTGTGAGCCACTGTACCCAGCCCCTCTCTCTTTTACAAGGAAGAGAGTGCTCTTTGTGTCTGGCTGTGAAAAGAATAATTCCTTTGAGCTATGGGTAATTAGAGATGAGGAGAGAAGGTTTATTTCATCAACACTTTGCCAATTACCTGTTGTACTGATAGCTCAAATCACACCTAACTTTCTTTTTAAATAACCAGGGCAGGGTGAGCTGTCACAGAGCACTTTCTGCACACCTCCATTATGGTATTCCTGAGTTGCCACACATTTGGGTAGCTCCTGGGGGCTCATGTGAATAATTTCCATTCAGTTTCAGTTCTCCCTCATATACCCAAGTGGCTGAATCAAATGAAGCACTCTTTAATCCCGGGCTTAAAAAAAAAAAAAAAGAAGGAAAGAAAACATCTACTGATGGAGCACATGAACAAAAAGAAAAGAGAAAAACTGCAGGTTAGAACATTGATCAATACTAACTTCATACCCCTGGTCCCCCCGTAGAAGATTCTCAAAGGCCAGGCATTTCTCTGTAGGAAAGATTTGGAGGGAGAAGGATGCAATAATGCTGATAACTTTCTTAAGCCAGGACTTGGCTGGCCTGGTGGCTGCACTCTCAGTAGCTCTTTTGTTCTTATGAAAAGACCCAGAAGGGTCAAGGTCAACTTCAAGATATCTGAATAAGGTGTCAGCTGTGGCAGCTGAGTTGGTGCTCAGCTCTCTCATAGACCTCCTCTCCCTGCCCAAGTCCTTAAGAATCTGATATGGTTTGGCTGTGTCCCCACCCAAATTTCATCTTGAATTGTAGCTCCCATAATTCCTCAGGTGGGAGATAATTAAATCATGAAGGCAGTTTCCTCCATACTGTTCTCATGGTAGTGAATAAATCTCAAGAAATCTGATGAATTTTTTTTTTTTTGAGACAGTCTCACTCTGTCACTCAGGCTGGACTGCAGTGACACTATCTCGGCTCACTGCAACCTCCGCCTCCAAGGTTCAAGCAATTCTCCTGCCTCAGTCTCCCAATAGCTGGGATTACAGGTGCCCGCCAGCATGCCCGGCTAATTTTTTGTATTTTTAGTAGAGATGGGGTTTCTTCATGTTGCCCAGGCTGGTCTCCAACTCCTGACCTCAGGTGATCCACCCACTTCGGCATCTCAAAGTGCTGGGATTACAGGCATGAGCCACCATGCTGGACCACATCTTATGATTTTATAAGGGGTTTCCCCTTTTGCTTGATTTGGATTCTCTCTTGTCTGCCACCATGTAAGACGTGGCTTTTGCCTTCTGCCATGATTGTGAGGCCTCCCCAGCCACGTGGAACTGTGAGTCTATTAAACCTCTTTTTCTGTGTAAATTACCCAGTCTTGGGTATGTCTTTATCAGCAGTGTGAAAACGGACCAGTACAGGATTCCACTGGACTTTTTTCCCTAAGGCTGTTACAGCAGATGGGGAAAGATGGCTTGTCTCTTATGACCCCATACATTTTTACATAGGCATACAATCTTTATTTATCCATGCCAGGCCTCAGTGTATCCCTGTATATCTTGCGCTGACCAGCACAGTCCTTGGAATGGCTTGAACTTTTCT
Source organism: Homo sapiens (assembly GCF_000001405.40). Taxonomy (NCBI): domain Eukaryota; kingdom Metazoa; phylum Chordata; class Mammalia; order Primates; family Hominidae; genus Homo; species Homo sapiens. The sequence continues at coordinate 15,193,995 of NC_000010.11, forward strand.
ATTTGCACCCTGACCATCAGCATGACCATAACAACTTACAATCTGAAATTGCTTCACCTTTTTTGGTTCGAACAACGTGAGATAATCCCAAACCAAACTTGAAAATTATCCACCACACTTATTGCTAGGACTCCTTGCACGAGTGAGCTGTGAGGACAGAACCCTGTTGTACTTATCTCTGCATCTCCAGGACTTTGTTTTGTGCTTGTGTTAGGCTGTTCTTGTGTTGCTATAAGGACATACCTAAGACTGGGTGATTTATACAGAAAAGAGGCTTAATTGGCTCACGGTTCTGCAGGCTGTATAGGCATGGCACTGGCATCTGCTTGGCTTCTGGGGAGGCCTCAGGGAGCTTTTATTTCTCAGTGGAAGGTGACGTGGTAGCAGTCACATCACATAGCGAGAGTGGAAGCAAGAGAGACAGGACGGGCATGTGCCACACTTATTGATTGATTGAGACAGAGTCTGGCTCTGTCACCTGGGCTGGAGTGCAGTGGTGCAATCATGGCTCATTGCAGTCTTGATCTTCCAGGCTGAAGCAATCCTCTTGCCTCAGCCTCCTGAGTAACTGGGACTATGGGCACATGTCACCATGCCCAGCTAATTTTTATTTATTTATTTATTTATTTATTTATTTATTTATTTTTGAGACGGAGTCTAGCTCTGTCGCCCAGGCTGGAGTGCAGTGGCGCAAACTCAACTCAGTGCAACCTCTGCCTCCCAGGTTCAAGCAATTCTCCTGCCTCAGCCTCCCAAGTAGCTGGGATTACAGGCGCCCGCCTCCGCGCCCAGCTAATTTTTGTATTTTTAGTGCAGATGGGATTTCACTGTGATGGCCATGCTGGTCTCAAACTCCTGACCTCGTGATCCACCTTGGCCTCCCAAAATGCTGGGATTACAAGCGTGAGCCACTGCGCCTGGCTGATTTTTTCAAATTTTTAGTAGAGATGAGGTCTTGCTATGTTGCCCAGGCTGGTCTCAAACTCCTGAGCTCAAGTGATCCACCTGCCTTGGCCTCTCAAAGTGTTGGGATTATAGGCGCGAGCCGCTGTGCCTGGTCCATGCACCTTCAAACAACCAGATTTCACATGAAAGAACTCACTATTGCAAGGATGGCACCAAGCCACAAGGGATCTGTCCCCATGACCCAAACACCTCCCACCAGGCCTCATCTCTAACATTGGGATTACATTGCAACGAGAACTGAGTGGGACAAATATCCGGACTATATCAGTGCTTATTGCATAGTACTTGAGACATAACTGCTAAATAGGGCATGACACTGAATAAACTAAAACAGCACGCACTATCATTAGAGACTTGATCCTCTCTGACATCAGCCTTTAAAGACCTGGATATGAGCAACGGGAGTCAATGGAAACACCGGCAAGAGAACAGTGGACGGCCGGGCGCAGTGGCTCACGCCTGTAATCCCAGCACTTTGGGAGGCCGAGGCAGGCGGATCACGAGGTCAGGAGATTGAGACCATCCTGGCTAACACGGTGAAAGCCCGTCTCTACTAAAAAATACAAAAGAATTAGCCGGGCGTGGTGGCAGGCACCTATAGTCCCAGCTACTCAGGAGACTGAGGCAGGAGAATGTCATGAACCAAGGAGGTGGAGCTTGCAGTGAGCCGAGATCGCGCCACTGCACTCCAGCCTGGGCGACAGAGCGAGACTCCGTCTCAAAAAAAAAAAAAAAAAAAAAAAAAAGAGAACAATGGACTAAACCTAACTCTTACTCAACAGGAAATTATTACTTAACAGAATTTGCCCATGTTCTCCAATAAAGAAGGGAAGGGGAAATAGTTAAGGCAGATTCAGATTAAAAATAGCAACTTGTAATTTATGCATAGATATTTTTCAGCCATCACGCCCCCACATATCTTCGGTGTGGAATGCTTTGGATAGATGGCGCCAGGAAATCCATATGTAGGGCAAAAAGCATGGGAAAAGATTCCCCAGTTAGATCATGCTCCTGATGTATTATCTCTGAAGGTCCTCAAAATTATCCTTTTTTTAGAGTAGAAAATCCATTTTGAAAGGGCTCCACTTGGGCTGGGCTGGACGCTACTGCATATCACCAAAGTAGGTCACCTCTGTGTGGACAATGAAGCCAACCTCAGTTTTAACCTTGCATTAAATCTGCAAAGGAGGAGATTGGACCAGGTGACCTCTGACGGCCTTCTGGCTCCACCTTCTGTGATGACGTCAAACCGTCAGACGTAGATCTGGAAGCAGTGACCCTCTCTCTTTGCATGAGTTTCTCTTTTTTCTCTGAGTTACAGTTTTGAGGGCAGCTGCTAATTTTTTTAATCCCTCGAATAACTCAGTTTTAGGAACATTCGCTCTCCCTAAGCCTTACCTTGAAACCAGTGTAGGATTTTGCTGCCACCCCGGAAGATGCTGAGTGGACTCAGCTTCCTATCCGTTTTCTCCCTCTGGTGTGAGCCCACACTCCCGGCGCTGGGAAATGGCTCTGTTCTAGGAGTGCGGCTGTCATCCTCTTCCTCTGCCCAGTGCTCTCTGCTACATCTTTTTTTTTTTTTTCTAAAACACAATCACACAACTAGCTACAAATAAATCCCTCTTGCCACTGCCTAGGAAAATGGTTTTCAAACATTATGATTTTCTTTTAACACTCTTTTTCTCTTTCCTTCTTTTCTTCTTTCTTTCTTCTTTTTCTTTCTTTTCCTCCTTCCTTCTTTCCTCTCTTCCTTTCCCCTTCCCCCATCTCCCTCCCTCCCTCCCTCCTTTCCTTGCTTCCTCCCTCCCTCCCTCCATCTCACTATGTCACCCAGGCTGGAGTGCACTGGTGTGATCATGGCTTCACCTCCCAGTCTCAAGTGATACTCCTGCCTCAGTCTCCTGAGTAGCTGGGACTACAGGTGCACGTTACCACATGTGACGTTTTTTTTTTTTTTTTTTTTTTTTTTTTTTAGTGGAGCTGTCTCACTGTGTTGCCCAGGCTAGTCTCCAACTCCTGGGCTCAGGTGATCCTCTTGCCTCAGCTTCCCAAAGTGCTGGGGTTATAGCTGTGAGCCACCATGACCAGCCAACGTTATTTTTTTTCTAAAAAAAGGTGGAATCGTTTTTGAAACAGTAATTGCCTAAGACCCGAATACATGACTCAATAAAGATCGGAAGATGTCACCTGCCCGGGTTATCTTCCCACCCCCAGAACCCTGATGCACTTCAGAATAATTTTAAAATCAATTGCTCTGGATACTGAAGAAACGAAGAGTATGAGAAAAATAAGCATCATTGGAAACCATCTGTCTGCACCCGTAGATATCACAAATGTGTGGTGAAAAAAAAATAAGACCAACTTGGGCCTGCTTTGAAGAGAGCTCTCTCTGGTTCTTTCATTCTCCCTTTTATATTTATGGATGCATTATGACCTGGGTCAACCAAAAAATAGAAAAATAAAGTGGAGCAGGAAGCCAAAGATTGAGTCATACAGAATTATATCTTTAACAGAACTAGATCCACCTAAAAGAATGATAAACAGGATGTGTCAAACATCATAGTATGAGGCTGAAGTTAAAGAAACAAACTCTATTTAAGGGTACCAAGAATAGCATCATTTTCATCTCGGCTGTAACCAAAGCCAGATAGCATGCTTAGCATAGTCTTTTAATCTGGAACTATCTTTTTGCTAGCTGGGTTTTATCCATTCCAGCCCTTCATTTAATGGCCAGGCTTCCATCTCGGCTTCTGCCTTAGGGAGATTAAAAATGGTGATTTAGGGGGCCGGGCGCGGTGGCTCATGCCTGTAATCCCAGAACTTTAGGAGGTCGAGGTGGGTGGATCACAAGGTCAGGAGACTGAGACCATCCTGCCCAACATGGTAAAACCCCGTCTCTACTAAAAATACAAAAAATTAGCTGGGCATGGTGGCAGCTCACTGCAACCTCTGCCTCCCAAGGCTCAAGCCATCCTCTTACCTCAGTCCTCCATAGTTAGGACTATGGGCATGCACCAACACACCTGGATAATTTTTGTATTTTTGGTAGAGACAGGGTTTCGCCATAACGCCCAGGCTGGTTTCAAACTCCTGGGCTGGAGCCATACACCCACCTCAGCCTTCCAGAGTGCTGGGATTAGAGGCATGAGCCTCCGCACCTGGCTTTCATGTGTACCTTGAGTCAGGATCCTGCAGAATCCCTGCTGCAACTTGGAAGGCGCATTGTGAAGCCATGCTCCTGAGCTGCAGTTGTGGTGCAGAGGACTGAACATTTGAATTAATGTATTGAATTAGTTTGCTTTGGCATTCAATCTTTACTTTGCTGGGGTGGGAGGGGATGGCAATAATGGAGAACATGTGGTCAGAGGGAGAGTTGTGGTCAGCACTTCTCTCTCCCTCCTGTAGCTTTAGCCTCTTTGCTCGCAGAAGTTTCTGCCCCCTCCCCTAACCCTGGGCTTGGGAGTAAAGCAGGGATAGGGTCAGAGGGTGGGAGGGTGCCTGGAGTTATCAGCACTGCTTTGTCCAAAGAAATCCTCCAAAATGCTCTCACTGTCTCTCATGACCCTTTTTAAAGTGGACTAAGCATTGTGGGGCCGGTTTCCAGGCATTCTCTTTGTAAATTCCGCACACTGACACCCTGTTACACCGGTATCCAATTCTGGAGAAGGGCTCTCCCTTTCTGATCCATTCAAAGGATTCTTAAGACTAACCTTCTGAGACAGGATCTCACTCTGTCACCCAGGCTGGAGTGCAGTGGTGCGATCTCAGCTCACTGCAGCCTCCACCTCCCAGGCTGAAGCGATCCTCCCACCTTAGCCTCCTGAGTTGCTGGGACTGCAGCTGTGGGTCACCACACCCAAGTCATTTTTGCATTTTTTTTTTTGGAGATAGGGTTTCCCTGTATTGCCCAGGCTGGTCTTAAACTCATGAGCTCAAGTGATCTGCCCACCTTGGCCTCCCAAAGTGCTGGGATTACAGGCATGAGCTGCCATGCAAGTGTCCCCCACCTTTTTTTTGGTTTTGTTTCTGAGACAGAGTCTCAGTCTGTCACTTAGGCGGGAGCGCAGTGGCATGAACACAACTCACTGCAGGCTTGACCTCCTGGGCTCAAGTGATCCTCCTACCTCAGCCTCCTGAGTAACTGGGACTACAGGCATGTGTCACCATGCCCAGCTAATTTTTTTTTTTTTTTTTTTTTTTGGTAGAGGCGGAGTCTCCCCATATTGCTCAGGCTGGTCTCAAGATCCTGAGCTCAAGCAATCCACCCATCTTGGCCTCCCAAAGTTCTGGGATTACAGGCAAGAGTCACCGAGCCCGGCCAAGGCTAACTTATTCTTTTTTTTTTTTCTGAGACGAAGTCTTGCTCCATGGCACAGGCTGGAGTGCAGTGGCGGGATCTCGGCTCACTGCAACCTCCATCTCCCAGGTTCAAGTGATTCTCCTGCCTCAGCCTCCCAAGTAGCTGGGATTACAGGGGTGTGCCACCACACCTGGCTAATTTTTGTATTTTTAGTAGAGACAGGGTTTCACCATGTTGCCCAGGCTGGCCTCGAACTCCTGACCTCAGGTGATCCGTCCACCTTGGTCTCCCTAAATGCTGGGATTACAGGTGTGAGCCACTGTGCCCAGCCCAGACTAACTTATTCTTAAGACAGTGAAGGCTGAAGTTTGTAGTTCAGTCTGCACTGGACCTCCCTCAGGTCTCTGAACTCTTTGCCACATGTGGCTGAAACATTATTTAGCAAGAGGCATCCCCCACTCTGTGTTGTGTGGCCTCTTCAGCAAAGAGGTGCCTGACAGTCCCCTCTGAATAATGACATAGTTTTCTCTAACAACCAGAATTTGTCTTTCAAAGATGTTTATGCTAATCTCAGCTGTAAGATCTCAGACAGTCCTAAGAGAAAGGCATGTTGAATCCATCCATTACCTATCCCCACAATCTTCTAGGGTTCCAGGGCTTTCATCCTGAGTGAAACCTACACTGCTTGTTCCCTTTTTTCATTATTTAGTGTGAGTGAAGCCAAAACTCAGTCATTCTCCGAGGTGGAGAAATTTCATACAGATTTTGATGTCTGATATTCTATCTGCTTGCACTGTTAAATTTCTCAAATATGTATATTTGTTTTCTCAGCAAAATCGTAAATTTATTGGGGAAATGAGGAATCATAGTTCATCTTTCCATGGGAAGGAGCCAGCTGCCCTGGGATCTCAGCAGCTTCACTGGTGAAGAGGGTGGGAACACTGTCCCCCTGAGCAGAGGCTGCGGCTACAAGGCTTGTTGGTGACAAGGACAAGGATAAGTCAAGACTTCCATAAACTTGAAGCAAGGAGGTGAACAGGAAGCTCCTGGTGAATTTCCTATTCACATCTTCAAAACTTTTATTGGCCAAGTGCAGTGGCTCACACCTTTAATCCTAGCACTTTGGGAGACTGAGGCAGGAAGATCTTTTGAGGCCAGAAGTTCTACAGCAGCCTGGGCAACCATGTGAAGCTCCATCTCTACGAAAAATAAAAATAAAATAAAAATTAGCCGACTGGTATGGCATGCATCTGTGGTCTCAGATACTTGGGGGGTTGATGCAGGAGGATTACCTGAGCCCAGGAGTTTGAGGGTGCAGTGAGCTGTGATCACTCCCCTGCCCTCCAGCCTGGGTGACAGAGCCAGACCCTGTCTCAGAAAAGAAAAACCAAACTTTTTTATTGGGGCTTGATATTACTTGGAATAAAGAAGCCACAACAATATCATCACTCTGTTATTATCTAGACTATCAGCATACTAGCGATATGAATCATAACAAAACTATAATACGATTTTATCTATAGAGTCACACATTGAAACAATTGGGAGTAACCTTATCAAAGGAAACAGATAACTGATAATGATCACACTTGTGAATAATTTCACAAAGAATGTGGTGACTTCATTCACCAAGGATTTCTGGAATCCTGAATTCCAGGTCAGTGGTAAAGCCTCAGAGGACAGAGGGAGGAAAAGGATTGAGTCATACCAAGGCATTTTTTAATTATTCCAAAGGTCATTCTCAAGTTAAAAAAATCACAACATCATTGTTATTATGATGGTATTCCTGAAAATCAAGAGATTCTAATTCACACAAGATATTCCATCATTTGACAGCTGTCACCAAGGGTAAAATTTTTTTTTAAATTATTCAGTTGAAATAATTAAAGTTTGGTTGAAAAAGTCAAGATGTTATATGGGGGTCAGTTCAGCCCTATATTTTCTAAGTACGTCAATCTGAAGTTTCAGGCACAAAGAATAGACATCCAAAGAAATTCAACTTGCAGCCAGGTGTGGTGGCTCACACCTGTCATTCCAGCAATTTGGGAGGCTGAGGTGGGAGGTTGCTTGAGGCCAGGATTTTGAGACCAGCCTGGGCAACATATCCATTGATGCTGTCTTATCCCGGTGATGATCTGAGGGGAGCTAGCTGCAGTATTATAGAAAAATGACATCTTTAAAAAATGACTATCTTTCATATGAGATCCTCAAAAATGCTCTATGGCCAAGAATTGTCTCTGTTCTCTATTGCTACTTGTCTGAAGATGTGCCTCTTCAGCTTTTACCCTTTAATCCAGAAAAGGCAAACCTCATCCCTGAGAAAGACCTTATATTCCTTTTCACTTACTCAAGAAAAAGAAGAAAATTTTTCTGTCCTCTGTCCAGGAAAAATGTAACTGATCTTCAATGCAATTTGAGCTTTTCTCTGTTTCCAAGTAGATATTTTTTATTTGCCATCATTATGCCCCATTTATGGGTCTCATCATCTCAAATGTGAAATTTCCCACTGCTGGGCATCTGATCTCATTTTAACCTTCTCTCTTACCTTCTCTGGCCTTTGAAGAGTGACTAATGTACTAGGACTCCAAAATAACCAACCTCGGAGAGTAGCTATCAAGTTATTTTTCTGAGGCTCGCAGGATCATTTAACATTACTATTACTGTGTTTCTGGAAGACATTTATAATTATGTTATACTGTTTATAAAATGGTTAGCATTCTGGGAAACAAAGCTTTTAGCTTTCCATAATGAAAGCAGCTCTATTGAATAAGCATTGCAAAGTGGCAGAGAGCACCGTTCATAAATGAAGTTACTCTGCTTCTTTATTTGTCTGTGAAATGACAGAAGAAATAACCTCACCAGTTGACTGTAAGGACCACAGGACACGTTTAGAGCCCTTCTGGAAATGTGGGAGGTACTAAGTGTTAGCCGTGGTTCCCAGCCCTGGAATTCATCTCTCTAAGGCAGCTGTGTGGGGTAGAGAGAATACTGCACTTCTGAACACAGCATGTGAGTTTCAGTGCAAATCCTGGGTCTTCGCCACTGTTTTGGTAAGAATTTATTTCAGTGTCTTTGAATGCAAGTGTGGATTAACATCACCTGCCTTAGCTATACAGCAGGGTAGCTGTGAGAATCATAACACAATAATGTAATATGAGGCCGGGCGTGGTGGCTCACGTGGTGGCTTACGCTGGGGCTGTAATCCCAGCACTTTGGGAGGCCGAGGCTGGCAGATCACCTGGGGCCAGGAGATTGAGACCAGCCCGGCCAACGTGGTGAAACTCTGTCTCTACTAAAAATACAAAAATTAGCCAGGCATGGTGGCACACGCCTGTAGTCTCAGCTACTTGGGAGGCTGAGGCAGGAGAATCACTTGAACGTGGGAGGTTGCAGTGAGCCGAGATTGTGCCACTGCCCACCAGCCTGGGTGACAGAGCAAGACTGTGTCTCAACAAAAAAGGAATGTATTATGAAAGTGGTGTGTAAAATGAAACTCTTTAGGGAGTTATTATTATACTTTGTCTTTTACAGTTGGTTCCCTGGTTTTGAACCTGCCTTGGCAAAAACTATAACAGGAAATGATGACAGTGAAAGAGATCTGATCCAACCAACCCCCATTTTGCTTTTAGCTTCCAAGCTGCCCATAGTTATTCCTGGGTTTGGGCCAAGCTAACTTTGGGAGAGACTTAGTTTACAGTTTCAATGATAACAGCCCTTTCCCCAAACTAAAGCACCTTTGTAAAGCTAATGAAAGACAATCAGGTTAGGAGACTGATAGGAAGCTGAGTTCTGCTAGGGTGTAGACAGAAATGGTTACCAGCCATTGTTCCGGAGGCCACAAGATGTACAACTTCCCCAATCACTCCTGCAAATAGCATCGTATCATAGAATTTAAGATTGCCCTTTTGAGATGCCTTTTTCAGGTTTTTGCATTTCTGATGACTGACCAATGGCTTCACCTGGACCCACCAACCAGTCCTGGGGCCACACCCAGAAGCAGACTCAGTGCTCACAATGACCATTCCCCACACCCCTATGATTGCACCCCCAACCAATCAGCAGCACCCGTTCCCTTGATTGCCAAACTATCCTTGAAAAATCCTAGCCTCCAAATTTTCAGGGAGGCTGATATGAATAATGATAAAACCCTGGTTTCCCATTCAGCCAGCTCTATGTGGGTAAAACTCTTCCTCCATTACAATTCCCCTGCCTTGATAAATTGGCTGCATCTGGGCAGCAGGCAAGAAGAACCCACTGAGAGGTTACAGTTTCATTCCTCAGGTCTATTAATCAGGTTTTCCAGAGAAACAGAACCAATTGGTGTGTATATAAAAGAAGATTAGGAGGAATGGGCTTACAAGATGATGGTGTTTGTGAAGTCCCACGATCTGCCATTTGCAAACTGAGACCCAAGAAAGCTGGTGGTGTAACTCAGGCTGAAGGCCTGAGAACCAGGGGGCCAATGGGGCTAAGTCCCAGTCCAAGGGCAAAAAAAGATGAGATGAGATCACCCAGCTCAACAGTGAGGCAGAAAAACAAAAGGAGGCGAACTCCTGTCTCTCTGTTTTGTTCCATTCGGGCCCTCAATGGATAGCATTTAAAAGACAGAAACCCCTAAATTATGAATTTCAGAGATTATATAGGAACTACATCATAGCTGCCCCCATCCCTTCTAGAGACTTGGAGAGAAACCCTAAACCTTAACGTTTTTTTTTTTTTTTTTTTTTTTGAGATGCAGTCTTGCTCTGTCACCCAGGCTGGAGTGCAATGGCACGATCTCAGCTCACTGCAACCTCTGCCTCCCAGGTTCAAGTGATTCTCCTGCCTCAGTCTCCCGAGTAGATGGGATTACAGGCATGTGCCACAACATCTGGCTAACCTTTTTTGTATTTTTAGTAGAGAACGGGGTTTCACCATGTTGGCCAGGCTGGTCTCAAACTCCTGACCTCAGGTGATCAACCCGCCTTGGCCTCCGAAAGTGTTGGGATTACAGGCATGAGCCACTGCGCCCAGCCAGAAATCCTAACTTTCTAATGGAAACAAATTGTCATAGGGAAGAGAATGGGAAGGCCCTATGTGTTACAGCAAATGCCAGTGCAGATCAATGAATGCAAAGGCACAGCTCCAAGAGAGATAAACCCGCAAATCTCTCCAGAGTAATTCACGATCTGTTTTCCAAAATGATTAATATTCCCTCATCCTTTAATCCAGTGTTAAATTAAGTTTAGCCTAAAGCGGCCTCCTTGTAAATTTGGCCTAAAGGTTTCTCCCACATAGGGAACTATAACGGGATGTACAAACAGACTGGTAACTGCCCTTACCAATCACCGAGTTCTGGCCAATCAAAGGGGCCAACTGTTTAAACTGCCTTCAAGTGAGAGAAATGGTAAGCAGTAGGCAATTTGGCTATCTCTGGACCTCACGTCACTTTCCTTTGCCTCTGACATGGTGGCAGTGCCGGAGTCTCCCTCAGCCTATTCTGGTTCAGGCAGTAGGGTAGGAGCACCTGGCACTGATAACTTGACCGTACTCTGAGAATGACCCTGTAGGGCGGGCACACCTGAATGTGTATTCAGAGTTCCATGCTAGGGAATCTGGGAGTAGCCCACCCCGAGATCCATTCCTTTTCTATGAAAAACATTTGATCCCCCACCCTGGCCCATGGAACACAGGTCGTACAGGGGATTGAGACCCTTTGTTTTGGGTTAAATGAAGGTTGCCAGGTGGAATTTGTTAGAGGGAGGGTGTAAAATGAAAATGCTATCTAAACTGCATGCATTTTGCAAGGATTTGCAGTTTTCCTGCTTGGCCCACTGCCACTGGACTCTCTCCCCTGTATGTAAGCCCCCAATAAAACCCACGTCTCCTTCGCTGGTGCGGGATCTCGTCTTTGGCCTCTTGTACCTGGTGCCATCCCTACTGAGATTAATAGGGGTCTGGCATGACAAAGGGGGCTGCCCGATTCGAGAATTGTTCTTTGCTCAATTAAACTGTTACATTTGTCTAGAGTTTTTAATACTAGGTTGCCAGTAACTTTTGCTCAGGAAACTGAGCTACACAGAAACATGAAAACATTCATGTTGTTGGCCAGGCGCGGTGGCTCACACCTGTAATCCCAGCACTTTGGGAGGCCGAGGCGGGCGGATCACGAGGTCAGGAGTTCAAGACCAGCCTGGCCAACATGGTGAAACCCCATCTCTACTAAAAATACAAAAATTAGACGGGCATGGTGGCGTGTGCCTGTAATCCCAGCTACTTGGGAGGCTGAGGCAGAAGAACCTCTTGAACCCAGGAGGCGGAGGATGCAGTGAGCCAGGAGCGCGCCACTGTACTCCAGCCTGGCGACAGAGCGAGACTGCGTCTCAAAAAAAAAAAAAAAAAAATTCATATTGTTTCCTGACAGCAAGTGGAGTCAAAAGAACTTGCCTGGATTTGGGGGTGAGGTTGACAGATGTTTGTAGGGTGACCCTGAGGTTTCTGGCCAAGGAAACTATATGGTGAGGCCATTTATTGGGATAGTACATAGGCAAAAACTAGGAGAACTGGTTTCCCTGATTTGCGGAGGAGTAGGGAATTCACGGGACAACATGAAGATAATAAATAGAGTTTTAGGTGCTTGAGGATGCTCAGTCTGCAGTTTGAACTCAGTGGCAGGCCTGGGATGCAGATACGGACGTGGGAGTCCCAAACAGGCAGTGATGTGAAATTGCTCGGGCAAGATGGCAGGAATAACCTGGACCTTGGGAAGAGGACGGACGGTAGAGCCAAGACATGTTGACACAGTGTGTCCACCTTCGGTTTTTCAACAGGCCATTGTGAACAGGAAGAGAGAAATCTGTTAGGCACTGCTGCCCAACTTGACATGCTATTTCACATAAATGCTTCCCCAACTGCAAATCTGGGGTATAGCTGTTAATCGACCCCAGAAACAAAGAGAAAAGTGAATAATTCCCTGAGGTACCCAATGGAAGGTGCTACCAGGCTGTAAAGTAGCTTCAATGTTTCTAAAGCAGTGGTCTACAAGCCTGTGTATGAGAATCAGCTAGGGAGAGTTTTTGTTTGTTTGTTTTGTTTTTAAACCAGTTTCACCTACAGAGATCCTAATTCAATCAGTCTGTGGTGGGGCCCAAATGCTTTAATATTTTTTTTCCAGCTCCCAGGGGATGCTAACATGTATCCATGGTTTGGATCCATGTCCCCGCCAAATCTCATGTTGAAATGTGATCCCCAGTGTTGGAGGTGGGCCTGGTGGGAGGGGCTTGGATCACAGGGGTACCTCTCATGAATGGCTTGGTGCTGTTCCCTTGCTGATGAGTGAGTCCACGTGAGATCTGGTTTAAAACTATGGCACCTCTCTTGCTCCCACTCTGGCCATGTGTGATGCCTGCTCCTGCTCTGCCTTCTGCCATGATTGTAAACTCCCTGAGGCCTCCCCAAGTAGATGCTGGTGCCATGCTTCCTGTACAGCCTGCAGAACCATAGCCAGTTAAACCTGTTTTCTTTATAAATCACCCAGCCTCAGGTATTCCTTTACAGCAACACAGGAATGGCCTAACACCCCAGGTTTGAGCAACACTGTTCTATAGTTACATGCACATTATCTTATTACCATAGAGCAACTCAATTCAAGAATTCAAGAACGGCTGCCATGTTTTACAGAGGTATTGCTTTCAGTAGCAAATTATGGTGATTGGGGACTTACCCTAACATTATTGCCTTGTAGACAGTGTCCTAACACATGTTTCCAGACAAATCTTTAAGAAGGCTGCACCTTCACAGAGCTCACTGGCTATCTTCAGACACCAGGCAAAACATCCCCTTTGAGCAAAGGAGATATTACTCAGCTGAAGCTTGCAGAAAGCAGTACGATGGGGCCGGGCACCATGGCTCACGCCTGTAATCCCAGCACTTTGGGAGACCGAGGTGGGCAGATTACTTGAGGCCAGGAGTTCGAGACTTGCCTGGCCAACATGGTTGTATTAGGGTTCTCTAGAGGGATATAACTAATGGAATATATATATTATATATAATAATATATATATATACACACACACACATGCACATACATATATACACACATATGTATATATAAAGGGGAGTTTATTATTAACTCACATGATCATAAGGTCCCACAATAGGCCGTCTGCAGTCTGAGGAGCAAGGAGAGCCAGTCCGAGTTCCAAAACTGAAGAACTTGGAGCCTGATGTTCGAGGGCAGGAAGCATCCAGCACGGGAGAAAGATGGAGGCTGGGAGGCTAGGACAGTCTCTGTTTTCACATTTTTCTGCCTGCTTTGTATTCTAGCTGTGCTGGCAGCTGATTAGGTGGTGACCACCCAGATTAAGAGTGGGTCTGCCTCTCCCAGCCCACTGACTCAAATGTTAATCTCCTTTGGCAACACCCTCACAGACACGCCCAGGATCAATACTTTGTATCCTTCAATCCAATCAAATTGACATTCAGTAGTAACTATCAAAATGGTGAAACCCCATCTCTACTAAAAACACAAAAGTTAGCCATGGTAGTACATGCCTGTAGTCCCAGTTACTAGGGAGGCAGAGGCAGGAGAACTTCTTGAACCCAGGAGGCAGAGGTTTCAGTGAGCCAAGGTAGCGCCACTGCACTCCAGCCTGGGTGAAAGAGTAAGACTCTGTCTCAAAAAAACAAACAAACAAAAGTAATAGAATGGGGAAAAAGAGATGCCACTGTTTTGTCTACCATTTTCCTTAAAAAGTAGCTGAGAAGCAGCTGATATAGCCCCAAAATGACCATTGTCACACTAGAGCAACAAGATTAGGGAACTGTAAGATACTAGTAATAGTTCAGAGAAATAAACTGTTTTTGTAATTTACAACTTACAAAAACTTTGATATGTATTGTCTCACTTGAATTCAACTCACCCAGAGGTGAGGAGAGCAAATACCCCCAACCTCTTGCTAAAGCATCAGAAGTGAGTCACCTGTCTGTTGGTCAGAGCCAGGCCTGACACCCAGAGCTTCTTCTCCAAATCCTAGATTTTAATAATTAGCATGGTTTACTTATGCCTTAGACCCTCATTATGGAGTGCTGAATGCATACTGTAGACAGATAGCAGAGGGTGCCAGTGAGGTGAGATGGGGCAGCAGCATGCAGAGGTGGCTGCACACTGGGCCGAGTGTCAGGAGATGAGGCCCACCTCTGTGTGGTCACCCATTGCATATGTGGAAAGGTCAACACAACACTTGTGACTTCAGCCTTCAATTTCCTCTGCTGTGAGACCACCAAGCCTCTTTCAGGTTCTTCTATTCCTGCCCATCCTGTTAAGGTGCAAAAGCCTAGCAATGCGAGAATTATGAGCCACTTTGAAGGTACCAAAATACCAACCTGAAACAACTCACAATGGCTGCGAAGAATGGAAAAAACATTTGCCAGGTATTTTAGTGTATATTTACAATTACAGCTTTGAAAATCATTTTTTTTTTTTGGCGGGGAGGAGAAGACTTGCAATTTCTATTTCGCCTGGAGTTTAGCTGGCTTTCTCCCTGATCTATGAGAGCAACTGCCTTTCTCCTTGTCACTGCCTTCTCCTGTTTGAAGGACCATGACAACCATCATGCCCTTTTCAAGTTCTCTGTGATGTCATAAAAGTCCCCAAGACATAATTGCAACTTGCTTTAACTATGGTGTCAATGCAGCAAACAAGAAATCGTGGAATATCAATATGGTTGAAAAATCACCCCCCATTTCTAACTTTACTCATTTTTATGAGGTCCTCTAGGTCTAAACACCTGCATAAGCGATGTCTGTGAGAGGGTGAACACAAGAAATCACACTGAGTTTGTCATGCTTGTGGCCTACGTACCATTCTGTGGCTTTCTGGTTTCCTTCCTTTTTGGTTTTGGTTTCATTTTCTTGGGTGCGATGCCTCTTTGTTTTTGCATTTGTCTGTGCTAGTTTATCCTAAATAAAGTTCCAAATGCACAGGGTCACTATCACTTAAATGATGTTGTGTATCCCCTGGCAGAGCTTAGGGCACACACTTTCTTTTCTTTTCTTTTCTTTTTTTTTTTTTTGAGACGGAGCTTCGCTCTTGTTGCCCAGGCTGGAGTGCAGTGGCGTGATCTCGGCTCACCGCAACCTCTGCCTCCCGGGCTCAAGCAATTCTCCTGCCTCAGCCTCCCGAGTAGCTAGGATTACAGGCACCCACCACCACACCCAGCTAATTTTTGTATTTTTAGTGGAGACAGGGTTTCACCATGTTGCCCAGGCTGGTCTTGAACTCCTGACCTTAAGAGATCCACTCACCTCAGCCTCCCAAAGTGCTGGGATTACAGGCCTGAGCTGCCACGCCCAGCCTTATGTATTTCATTATACAGATTATTATGTATTCCATTTGTAAGTTCTGTCCTATGCATCCTTTATCAGGGACATTTATAATTTAAGTGCATTCATTTCCAGAGAGCTGGCTGTTTAAGCCGTGCACCACTGTTTCTAGCTGGGTGACCTCAATTACTTAACCACTAAGCCTCAACTTCAGTGCAAAACAAAGAAGAATAAACATTCCTTCCTTGAAAGATTTTGAGGATTGAATGCAATGATTGTTTCCAATACATTGTTTCCAGGTAGAGACTCCAGGAACCTCAGTCCCCTTCTCTCCACCCACCTCACCTTGGGGAGAGACCCAGTGGCAGATTCACCCCTGTGCACGCCCACCCCTACTTTCCCAGAGTGGCCCTGTGTGTCTGGACTAAACCGTTACAGGTGGGGAAAACTCACCACTAGGGGGCGGGAGCAAGATGCCTTTGATGGCTGTCGTCCTTCAGACCACGTAACTGATTTGGAATACTGTGACATATTCACCCTTCCACCCTCCGTGGGGAGAGAGAGGATAAATGTGTAAAGTCTGTGGCCACGGTGCTGCATTCAGAGAATCCCACTCTAGTGATCAGCGTTGGCATCCTGAGAAAATGAGAACCACTGAGCCCCAGTTAGGACAACTGTTAAAATGTGATAAAAATCTTCAGCCGACCCAGTTGCCCTTCTGCAAACCCACCTGCTTGTTGTCCTCGGCACACGGCATGCTGTGACTGCTGCTGGCTGCTTAATACATCGGGGCCCATCCAGGTGAGTCTCACCTAAGGAGGAGTCAGCAAAGCAGTCTTCTCCACCCCCATCTTCCTGCCAGATCTCTCAGGATCAGCGCTTACAGTTAATGTGCTACCCGACTTTCCCAGGTAACATGCATTAAATGAGGCTCTTCTAGAAACTGACGTTTTAAGGAGGTGATTCCATTGGCGGCAACCTTAGAGCCGCAAAGGACTGGGGTCAATGACAGCAGAGAGGTCTTCCGGGACTTCCTCCCTCGTCCCTCCTCATCTAGGTCTGGCCCTGGATTTTCCTGGAGGAGCAACTTCCTTATTCTTTTCAGGGGAGCTGACCAACGCCTTCTCCCTGGAGTCTTAGCCAGGTCTGCAAGGATGCCCCTGCCACTTACTGGTGAGATGTCCACTCCCGCGCAAAGGGCGTCTCACTCCTTAGGCCCCCAGGCTCCCATCTGGCTAGCTGTCCCACTGTCAAGGACTTGCTCAACTATTTTCCCCCTTAAAAGCCAAACAGGCAACACCACCACTTGAGAATGAAAATCATCAAAACCACTGTGATTAGTTCTTTGCCTGCATGGAATTCACAAATACTGATTTTGTTGACTGTAAACATAGCTGGCTTAATTTATTTCTGCCAGTTATGTCCCAACACCTCCATTAATGATTTTATTTTGATGAATAGTTTTATACATCTGGGAGGATTCTGGTCATTCTAATGATATCTTCTTGAAGCTCTTCCAAGATGGATCAATACTGACCATAAAACATCAGATTCTTGTTAAGTGCAGACATCCCTCTTTACCTGAAACACATCAAAATGTTATTTGGTGTTCTTGAACAAAACTACAGACAAAGGTGGATTTTTATAGATTTTAACCCTAGAGGAAATTCCTAGGTGTCTAGGTGGTGGGTCTCCAAATACAAGTCTGACAACTGCGTTGCAGACTGCCACCAAGGAAACAATGACAAAGACTTTTTTTTTTTTTTTTTTTTTTTTTTTTTTTTTTTTTGAGACAGGATCTGCTCTCTTACCCAGGTTGGAGTGCAGCAGTACCATCCTCCCACCTCAGCCTCTCAAGTAGTGGGGACTACAGGCATGAGCCACTATAACCAGGTAATTAAAAAAATTTTTTTCACAGAGATGGGCTGAAGTGATCCTGAGCTCAAGTGATCCTCCTCCTTTGGCCTCCCAAAGTGCTGGGATTACAGGTGTGAGTCACCATGCTTGGCCTGACAAAGTCTTAATAACAACTTTGAAACAGATAATGACTCAGAATGAATTCAAATGACCACAAAGACAGTTTTCCTTTTCTTCAGAGTTTATTTTGAATTTTCATTTTTGGATAACCAAGCAGCTCTTTAAGAAGAATGCACAGAAGAGTCATTCTGGCACTTTTGGATAGTACATAAGATTTTCTTTTTTTTTTTTAAATTTTTTTTAATAGTCACATTCAGCTCGCTTGCTCAAACCAGACTCCCACATTGGGTGAGCAAGATGAGCCCATAGGATTCCAGAGTTAATACGTAACCGTATATACAAACAGCCAAAAAACCATAATGGTGCCACAGGGATGGAGCAGGGAAGGGCATCTCTAACGTGTCCTCTAGTCTATCTTCGCTAAACAGAACCCACGTTACACATGATAACTAGAGAGCACACTGTGTTGAAACGAGGATGCTGACCCCAAATGGCACTTGGCAGCATGCAGTTTAAAGCAAAAGAGACATCCTTTAATAACTGTATAAAATCCAGGCAGTTCCATTAAAGGGGTTAAGAAAACCAACAACAACAAAAAGCGAGGGACTGTCTGTTGTCACTGTCAAAAAGGCACTTGGAGTTAATGGGACCAGGATTGGAGGACTCTTAGCTGATACAGATTTCAGTACGATTTCATTAAAAGGCTTGGATGTTAAGAGAGGACACTCAGCGGTTCCTGAAGGGAGACGCTGAGATGGACCGCTGAGAAGCGGAACAGATGAACACAAAGGAATCAAATCTTTACAACCAAATTGCATTTAAGCGACAACAAAAAAAGGCAAACCCCAAAACGCAACCTAACCAAAGCAAAATCTAAGCAAAATCAGACAACGAAGCAGCGATGCATAGCTTTCCTTTGAGAGAACGCATACCTTGAGACGCTACGTGCCAACCTAAGTTCTCAACGACAGCTTCACAGTAGGATTATTGTGATAAAAATGACTCAAGCGATGCAAAAAGTTTCATCTGTTCCCAGAATCCGAGGGAGAACTGAGGTGATCGTTAGAGCATAGCGACATCACGTGCGGTTTCTTAATGTCCCTGGTGGCGGATACGCCGAGTCCTCGGAAGGACATCTGGACACCACTTTCAGCCACCTCCTTGCAGGGGCGACATCCGCCAAAGTCATCCTTTATTCCGAGTAATAACTTTAATTCCTTTCTAACATTTACACGGCAAACAGGAATGCAGTAAACGTCCACGTCCGTCCCACGGCTGGGCTGCCGTTCCGTTTCCTCCACGAACGGGTACGCGCTTCCATGAGAAAGGATATTTGGCAATTTTATATTCCACAGTCAGGTGGGTCTGCGATAGCTCATTTAATGTTAAACGCCATCAGGGGCCTCTCCTCCCGTTTCTGCCAGGGGCTTTTCTTGTCTTCTCCTTGGTCATCATCATCATCGTCTTCCTCTTCCTCGTGGGCAGATCTTCTCTGGTGGGGGCTGGCTGCTGGCTCCGAGGGGGCATCCGCAGTCCGTCTGGTCGTCTCCTCCTGCAGGCTGGGCAGCTGGCCACCACTTCTCCGACTCGACCCCTCCAACAAGCATCGCAGGGCACTGTCCTCGGGGGTACAGACCGTGGTCCCACATTCGCTACCACTCTGTTCCACGTCATCCAGGTACACGAGCTGCGTGTAGGCCGTGCTGTCTGGGGCTCGAGGCTCTTTCTGCTGGTGCTCTTGGACGGGCGGGTAGTTCTGCTGCAGAGACAAAGCATCTCCCCTTCCCTTCCGGGCTGATTTTGGTTCATTCATATCTACGCCAGAGTCCAAACTGGCATCATTACTTCCGTTCCTTCCAGCTCTTTGGAGATCAATGTATGAATGTCTAACGTGAGCGTTGGACCTGCCATCCAAGGAGACGAACCACGCCCGGGGGTGCGGAAGCGGCTTCCCACCCCCAAGCTCCATCAGGGCCTTTTCAGTCAGGAGCTGCACCTCACTGTTCATCTGAGCCAAAGCCGCGTCGTTCAGGGAAGCTGGGATGGAGAGAGACTCCGACATGGATGCGTTCTGAGGGCTCCACTCCCGGGTGCCCGCATCCTGCAGGTGCTGCTGAGAGATGGCCTGGGAAGACAGGGGCTGGGGCTGGATCTGTGAGGACGGGTGTGGGAAGATCCCGGCATGGGGATTGGACAGCTCAGCCTGTAGTCTTTCTATCTCAAGCTGCTGATCAGCCGGGACGACGAGGGGCTGGCTGACATAGGAGTGGTCCCCGGGGAGTTTCATATAATGAGCCGGGATGACCAAGGCAGGCAGTACTTTCCTGTAAACGCTGTCATTGACCTGGTCGACAGAACTGCAGCAGATTAACTGGCCGGGCCGTGGGAAGGACGTAGGTCTCTCGAGGTGATCTACTGATCGCGACATCATACATTCAGTGGGTCTGCGGTCCAGCAGCTGTTCTTTCTCAGGTGATGAAGGCGCGGGGTACAGATGTTCCTGAATGGTGAGTTTGCTTCCCGTGGAGGCTGGACCTTCTCTGTCCTGCTTTTCAAATAAAGGCTGTGAGAGCACGGTGTTGTAACTACCCCTGTAGTCATCATTGCCCGAGGACTCGTAGCCTTCTCTTTCCATAGATTTTCTTGCCTTTAAGGGAAAAACCTCCACTGACTTATGGTAGTCTTTCCCCAGCGTCCCACTTGGAGTGAGGTTATCAAAGGAGATCTGGCTTTTATCCTCTTCCTTGCAAGAGAGGAGCTCCTCCCGGGAGCTAAATTCCTGGGAGGTGCTGTAGGAGAGCTTGAGCATGGGGGTGTGCAGGTCCCCTTCGCCGCCCGGAGACATCATTTCCAAATGGACTCCACTCATCAGTTCCTTCGTGCCGGGGGCCTCGGGGCGGCCGTGGCTGGTGACGGACAGCGGGCCAGGGAATTCTGACGCTCGGCGTGAAAACAGCAAGTTAATGTGTGACATGGACGTGGACTGGTCTCTTTTGGAACTCTCCAGTCCTGCAGGGAGCTGCAGTTTTCTGTGGTGCTGACGAGGTTTCAAGCACTTCCTCCTGCGCCCAAAGACACAATCCAAAGCCAAAGATTAGTGATTCTCACAATGAAAAAGTTTCAAGTTTCAGGTAAAATCCTAATTCTCAATTTCCATGGGGAGAGACAAAACAAAACAAGTCAGGAGCAGCCAAAAGCCTTCTCACCCCACGCCCTGTCTTTTTTTTTTTTTTTTGAGACAGCATCTTGCTTGCTCTGTCGCCCACGTTGGAGTGCAGTGCTATGATCATAGCTCACTGCAGGCTTGACCTCATGGGCTCAAGTGATCCTCCCACCTCAGCCTCCCGAGCAGCTGGCACCGCAGGCACATGCCACCATGCCCAGCTAATTTTTGACTTTTAGTTTTTTTGTAGAGATGGCCTGTGTTGCCCAGGCTGGTCTTAAACTCCTGGCCTCAAGCAATCCTCCCCCTTCAGCCTCCCAAAGTGCTAGGCCTCCATGCCTGGCCCTTATCCTTATTTTATCCTTATTAGAGTAGGATAATCGAGAGATTTCATCTTTTACTGTCTGGAGAGCCCTTTGCCTAAATGAATTAAATGTATGACATTCATTTTTCTATGACTTAAAAAAGTCAACAACTTATTAAAGAGTCTCAAACGTGACTAAAATGCTTTGCATTTTTAAAAATAAAATTTTTCCTCTATAATGCCTTTTTAAAACAGCTAAACTTAAAGGCTTTTATAAGCCAAGTTACTTATTTCAAAGGGGTTACTCAAGAGTTGACAATAAATATTCTTGCAAACTAAACAGACACGGCATCTAAATAAGAATAATTTTTTTTTTTGAGATGGAGTCTTGCTCTGTTGCCCAGGCTGGAGTACAGTGGTGCAATCTTGGCTCACTGCAACCTCCACCTTCTGGGTCCAAGCAATTCTCCTGCCTCAGCCTCCCAAGTAGCTGGGATTATAGGCGTGTGCCACCATGCCCAGCTAATTTTTGTATTTTTGGTAGAAACGGAGTTTCACCACGTTGGCTAGGCTGGTCTCGAACTTCTGACCTCAAGTGATCCGCCCACCTCGGCCTCCTAAAGTGCTGGGATTACAGGTGTGAGCCAACGTCCCTGGCCCAAATAAGAAGAGTTCTGCTTTGCCCTTCAGAGTATCATCTCTTAATCAGCGTTCAGGAATACTCTGAATAAATCAGATGACTATTGTTAAACTCTTTTTCATAACTCCCCTTCTAAGCAATGTTATCCACGCAGCATGCTTTACACATACTATTTGTTAAGTTGCAACTTAGATCACAAATGTGAGTTCTTACTTTTTCATGGGAAGAAAAAGTACTTCAATTTAGAAAAATTAAAAAAAAAACCCACCTCCATATTAATGCTTCTAAGTATCAATTGCCCAAGAAACTGTGAATTAAAAAAGATATTGCCAAAATGGTAACACTTTACCTGCAATAATATAAAAGGAGACACAGCAAAACCAAAAGTATGAAAGCCATTCCTCCTAAAATGGCCAAAAGAAACACCGTGTGATACGTGGTAATGTCCTGTGTTACAACGGGACCTAGAAGGTCAGAAAATGGCATTTAGAGTTTTGAACACCTTTAACTCAAAAGAGGGATCATTCATTGAGAACGCAGTGTCTTGTGCTTACTCTTCTTAGCTGGGGCATAGAGCAGTGGCCAGAGGAAAACGCCCTTGGATCATGCACTTGGGGTACCACCAGCATTGCATTAGTGATTAGCATGACTATTATGGAAGCTCCCACAGCCAGGAGAACTTTGAATACTCAAAGACAAGATGTGGTTACGTCAAGGGCCCCTCCTAAGCGGAGAAGTGCGCCTCACTTGGTAGCATGTGCCGCATTTGAAATACATGATCTTTTTAATTTTTTTTTTTTTTGAGACAGGGTCTCATTCTGTCACCCAGGCTGGAGCGCAGTGATACAATCATGGCTTACTGTAGCCTTGACCTCCTGGGCTGCATCAATCCTCCTGCCTCAGCCTCCAGCATAGCTGGGACTACAGGCACGCACCACCACACCTGGCTAATTTTTATAAATTTTTTTTAGAGGCAATGTTCTCACTATGTTGCCTAGGTGGGTCTTGAACTCCTGAGTTCGAGCAATCCACTGCCTCGGCCTACCAAAGTGCTGGGATTATAGGCATGAGCCACTGTGCCCAGCCATATGATCTTTTCATACAAGAAAATGAACGCATGACGATATAATGACTGGGACTCTCACCTTCAGAAAGATGGCCTATCTGGGAATTTTATATTGCAGTGAAAAAAAAAAAAAAAACCCTACAAAGTTTTATTTTCGCTTTTCCCGGGCAGTCAATCATTACCGTCTGGAGAGCCCCTAGCCCAAATGAATCAGTTTAAATGTATGACATACATTTCCTGTGACTTAAAAAAGTCAGCAACTTTTAACACTTAATACAGGTATCAAATATGACTAAAATGATATCCATCTTTAAAAACAAGATCTTTCTCTACAATGGCTTTTCAAAATAGCTAACCTTACGTGGCCAGAGATCTCTTTAGAACTTATACATAAGGTTATCAAAGATAAAAATATTTTAAGTTTATGTTGTAAAAAATCCCAAGAGGTAGCTTAACTCACATTTTATGTTCCGTAGTAGTACAAATCTATCTTAATGTTACTAACAACAGATCAGCGACAACAAAAACCTCCCAACATTCCAATATTTAGGTATTTATTGGTGTCCGAGTTTCCTGGCAGTGTATGAATACATGGGTCGAAATGAACTGGCCTCATATTATTTCAGGGTAGCATGGCTATGATTATTAAACACCACAGACACCCATTTGCTTATTTTTGATTTTTGACATTCTAAGACATAGACTTTTTAAAAAATCTTCTTAAGGGGACAAATCTCCTAATTTAAGACCTAGATAAACCCAAGATTTACCAGTTTTTGAAAACAGTGATGTTACTTAAATTCACAAGAAACACCATTCTCTTTCAGATATAATTACTTCAATGGAGTGCGAGGAGGGGGTTAAAGTTTACAAAAATTGGAAAAATAACTGACAATTAGATACTGGCTTACTTGTTCAGAGAAACAATTTTTTTTTTTTTTTGAGACGGAGTCTTTGCTCTGTCACCCAGGCTAGAGTGCAGTGGTGTGATCTCAGCTCATTGTAACCTCTGCCTCCTGGGTTTAAGTGATTCTCCTGCCTCAGCCTCCTGAGTAGCTGGGATTATAGGCGCCCGCCACCATGCCTGGCTAATTTTTTTAAGTAGAGATGGGGTTTCACCATCTTGGCCAGGCTGGTCTTGAACTCCTGACCTCATCATCCACCTGCCTCGTCCTCCTAAAGTGCTGGGATTACAGGCATGAGCCACCGCACCCGGCCCAGAGAAACAATTTTTTCATGCAAAGACAATAGACAATTCCCACGGATGTAGCAAAGCTTTGTCAGGAGTCACCAAGAAACTTAGGGTACACATAAAAGTATTTCCAAATACTGATGCTTCGTCCTTTAAGTACTCAAAGCATTATTGTTTTGTTTTGTTTTGTTTTGAGATGGAGTCTCACTCTATCATTCAGGCTGGAGTGCAGTGGCACGATCTGGGCTCACTGCAACCTCTGCCTCCCAGGTTCGGATAATTCTCCTGCCTCAGCCTCCTGAGTACCTGGGACTACAGGTGTGTGCTACTGTGCCTGGCAAATTTTTTGTATTTTTAGTAGAGACAGGGTTTCAACGTGTTAGCCAGGATGGTCTTGATCTCCTGACCTCATGATTCGCCCACTTTGGCCTCCCAAAGTCCTGGGATTACAGGCATGAACCACCGTGCCTGGCCAGCATTATTGTTTTAATCTCTGCCAGTACGATTCTTTATAAAATTCACAGCTATACTTCACTTCAAGGAGTTAAGGAACATAACCCAAATTATTTTGTTGTTGCTTTTGAGTTCATGAAAGCCCAATATTAGTATAATTTTTTGTAATAAAGGTGGGTTGTGAGATGACTGACATATGTATCCCTACATTAAATACCATCAGAGGCTGTAGTGGGTATGCTTTGTGTTATTTTTGAGATGGGGTCTCACTCTGTCACCTACGCTGGAGTGCAGTGACATGATCATAGCTCACTGCAGCCTTGAACTCCTGAGCTCACGGGATCCTCCTGCCTCAACCTCTCAAGTAACCGGGATTACAGGTGAATGCTACCATCACTGGCTAATTAAAAAAAATTTTTTTAGAAGTGGGGTCTTGCTGTGTTGCCCAGGCTGGTCTTGAACTCCTGGGCTCAAGAGATCATCCTGCCTTGCCTCCCAAAGTGCTGGGATTACAGGTGTGAGCTACCATGCCCTGGCCTGTGTATGCTTTTTATAGCCTTGAGTCTCTTCCTTCACTGCTAGGAAGCTCTCAGGGGAGCTACGTCTGGCAGTTCCTTCATGCTGCCTTACAAAAGCATATACTGGACAGGCGCAGTGGCTCATGCCTGTAATTTCAGCACTTTGGGAGGCTGAGGCGGGGGGATCACCGGAGGTCAGAAGTTCAAGACCAGCCTGACTAACATGGTGAAACCCTGTCTCCACTAAAATACAAAAATTAGCCAGGTGTGGCGGCGGAGACCTGTAATCTCAGCTACTCTGGAGTCTGAGGCAGGATAATTGCTTGAACCCAGGAGGCGGAGGTGGCCATGAGCTGAGATCATGCCATGGTACTCCAGCCTGGGCAACAAGAACAAAACTCTGTCTCAAAAAAACAAACGAACAACAACAACAACAAAACCAAAACACACACACACAAAAAGCATGTACTGATCTACTGCATGATGGGAAAACTAATAGCTGAGATTGAAATACATCTAAAATTAAAGTTCATTTTAATGCGTGGGCTTTATGGCATTTATTTTAGTGCTTAAGACAATTCTTTTCCTTCCTTTGTTTCTCTTCAGTCATAATCTAGGTATTTCAGATTCAGAGAATGGGGCATTTCTACGTGTGGTTCATGCTTATATCACTACAAAAACAATAGCATCAAGGGAAACACATTAATCTTTTTTTTCTTTTTTTGAGAGGGTGTCTCGCTCTGTCGCCCAGGCTGGAGTGCAGTGGCACAATCTCGGCTCACTGCAACCTCTGCCTCCTGGGTTCAAGCGATTCTCCTGCCTCAGCCTCCCAAGTAGCTGGGACTACAGGCGTGTGCCACCACGCCCAGCTAATTTTTGTATTTTGAGTAGAGACGGGGTTTCACCATGTTAGCCAGGATGGTCTTGATCTCCTGACCTCGTGATCCGCCCTCCTCGGCTTCCCAAAGTGCTGGGATTACAGGCGTGAGCCACCGCGCCCGGCTAAGGGAAACACATTACTCTTAAAACAGATGTGAAGTGTAAATTTTCTTAGTATGGTGATATAAAGTCATTGTAACACATTTTTCCACACCTGTTTAGGAAAGACCTCCATCAAATCAGTTACTTTGTGAGTCTAAGTGCTAATTCCAGTGATAATTCCATTGCTAAAATATTTGAACTTGCATTTTAGAACTGCCTTCATGGTTCATTTACAAGAGACACCTTTTAATCACAGCACATTTCGACCTAGCTAAGTCACCTACTTTATTCACCAGTCTTGAATGTGCATGACTTTTAGATGTCTTTAAAAAGAAAAATCATAAAGATTTGCCATTTGAGCATAAAGATTTGCCACCAAGAAAGAGATTTACTAATGAAGGCAGAAGGCAGTCCAAGTAATATAGATTCTAAAGGCAGCTTGAGCAACAGAAGCTATCACTGGAAATAATTCTCCTGAGATGACCATTTTGAAAACAAAACAAAACAAAACAAAACTCAACAATTCTAGAATATTTTTGGGGGTAACATAGGTTAAAAAAAATAAACTATTGGTCACGTTCTGAAAGATATGCATTAATGCACATATCCTAAATGGAGGGGAAGATTCTCGTAGATACAAAGCAACTGGTTTACGTTTAAGCCATTTTGGAAATGCCCCACCAGGCTTTTTGCCCCCAGTGGTGACTTCCCACTAGCATCTCTGTGGAGTGCTTTTCCCTACATGTGTGCCTATACCAGGCCACAGCTGTTTCAGGAATTAGGGAGGAGGTCTTGCTGGTCTCTGTGGGCTTTTGATGAAGAATTCCCTATGGCAGCTGTCTGAACAAAACAGCCACTCAAGACTATTTTCTATGCATTATTCTTACCCTAGATGGAAGATTTCCAACCAGAAGTCCCCCACCCCCGCAAAATACCTTCTTTACATCATCTCATTTTCAGACTTTTAACCATTTTTGAATAAGATGTGATCGCCCTGCTGAAGTTATTTTCAAGAGCATACTTAGCCTGAACCCTCAAAGACCAAAGCAACTGATCCGCATCATCGCAAGTGTTGGCTCCGTGTTACCTGGGATGGGAGGGGACATGGCGGCCACCCAGTACCCCAACTGGGGGGCAATGTATGTCCACGTCAGCTGGCTGCCTTCCTGGTGCACAAGACCCAGACCGCTCTTCAGCCACGTTCCTGTGGAATTGAGAAAGAGATGTTAGCTACAAGCACACCACGCTCCTTTGTAAGGCTTGAGCATATTGTAAAAGTCATCTTAAATATCTTAAATGTCATGTTTATGACCTATAAGATAACCAAGATGGCCAAAGTGTCATCTAGGGACCCCAGGCAGCTTTCTGGAGAAATTCTTTTCAATTTCCTTTCAGGGAAAGATAAGCAACTTTAGTGTTCCTTTGCCTTCTCAATTAAATTACTTTCAGCCACTTTATCAAACAACCCTCCTTCCAAACACAGATGATTTTAGCAGAAGCCTTTGGAACTCAGAAGCAGAATACAGGCAGCATGATGGGGGCTGGTGGGAGTGAAAAGAGAGGGGGAAATCCGGCTCTATTCAAGCTCTTTGTCCTTGAGCAAATTTTCTATCCAGAGCTGCAGACTGGCTATATCAGAATTACCTAGGGGTGTTTTGAAAAAATAGATCCCTTCATCCCATCTTTGCAAACTCTCATCCAGTAACCCTGGCTTCAGTGAGCATTTTTAAAAGCTTCCAGTTTGTTCCAATGCTGGGAAACACCAAATACATCAAGGTCCCTGCTGTATCTTCCAGTTATTACTTTAGCTAGCATTTGAAAGTAACAAGCACCTGCTATGCACTAGCTATTCACAGCATACGTGTCTTATAATACACCATCTATAATTCTCACCACAACAATGAAGACTGGGGAGTTACAAAACTTTTCCAAGGCCTCTCGGTGGCTGAGAGCAGAGTGGGAATAGAACCTGGGGCTGCCTGACCTCAAGGCTGTGCTATTTCTTCTGCTCTGCCAGGCTGCATTTCCTAGAAACCTTCCCAGCATTTGATTGCATTTTTACTTTGTGAAGTTTCTAGGAGCAAACTCATTGAAGAGGATGAACTTGCCCAAGGTTGTTGGGCTATTTCCCAGCCAAAAATGGATGCCTTTTCCTGGGCTCACCTGCAGAGAGCCTTGCTCTGAGGCCTGCGATGGCAGCTGTGGGCAGAAGGCCAGGGAGAGGCTGGGCGAACCTCTAGACAGCCCGCGCACCCACTCCGACCTATCAGCATGGAGATGTCCCGGCATACACAGGCCTCCTGTGCAGCTCACCTCTCTCCTATAATCATCCTCACCTGAAATGGCTACGTGGGCGACCCTGTGGCTCTAAGGCCTAAATAGACCAGCTGTGCACCAAATGCAGGCATGCATCATTTAACAGGGATACATTCTGAAAATGCATTGTTCATCGCTGTGCAAACATCATAGAGCGTCCTTATGCAAACCTAGATGGTACTGCCTCCTACACACCTGGGCCACACGGTCTAACCCATTGCTCCTAGGCTACAAACCCGTACATCGTGTGACTGCGCTGAATACCATAGGCCACCGTCACACAATGGGAAGTATCTGTGTATCTAAACATAGAAAAGGTACAGTAAAAATACAGAATTATAGTCTTATGGGATCATCATTGTACATGTAGTTCATCGTTGACCCAATCATCATCCTGTGACTCATGCCTGTATTCTACCCAAATGCTTGCCTTGCTTAGCTACACGCCTCATGCAGAGGTGGTGGTAATGGATTTTTATTCCCCCTGAAGAAAGAAACAACACTTGGGTTGCTTCGAGGCCTTATCAGTTGCCATAGCAACATTCAAATGCAGTGGGTGGAAAGATGCCCTTGGTGATGCCTCCCCTGGCAGCCGCTCCTCTGCTCACATGGCAGCGGCACACAGTGGGCACGTGGGACAAGTCGGGCACCAGCGAGGGCTCGGCATCTCCCCCTTCCCACGCCACAGGCTGGATCACTGCACCAAAGGGTTTGGGCTCCAGAAAGAGCAGACTGTAAGCAAGGTTTTGCAAATGGGTATGAGGGCAGGGATGCCCGGTTCTGGTCCATTTCCTGAAGCGCACCCTCCTAGAAATCACCCTGTTCTACAGGACTATTGTACAAGGGGAGCGACAACGTAAGATGTTTGACATATTGAGGAAAAAGGGCTGGGCATGGTGGCTCACGCCTATAGTCCCAGCACTTTGGGAGGTCAAGGTGGGAGGATCACTTGAAGCCAGGAGTTCGAGACCAGCCTGGGCAACAGAGTGAGATGCCATCTCTACAAAAAATAATTTTAAAAAGTAAGAAAAAGGTTTTCTCTGATGGTAAGAAAGCTTCCTCAAAGGTAGAGAATGTTTGCGACTGCTCCTACTCCCGCTCCAGGCTTGGCACCCGTTCA
Organism: Homo sapiens; assembly: GCF_000001405.40. Classification (NCBI taxonomy): domain Eukaryota; kingdom Metazoa; phylum Chordata; class Mammalia; order Primates; family Hominidae; genus Homo; species Homo sapiens. The sequence goes on from NC_000010.11 coordinate 15,223,293, forward strand.
GCTCATGACTTACACGTCGTATCCCCTCCCCAAAGCTGGCCCACTACAGTGATGCTCTCAGCCTCTCTGCATCAGCCAGGAAAGGGCTGTGCATTCTTTGGTTTGCTGTTTTCCCCACATTAGATTGTTGAGTCACTGCTTGTCAAACAGCAGATTCTGGGTTAGGCTAAACGGGACCCAGAGGGTGAGAGCTGGAAGCAGAGTAAGTCCTGCTCATTCATGAATGCACACCTGCCTTTCTCCTGCCTTTCTCCCTAAGTTGCCTTTCCCTTCTAAAACACACGATAACCAATTGAAACAGACTTTAAAAAATAGCTCCACATTGGCTGGGGGTGGTGGCTCATGCCTGTAATCCCAGCACTTTGGGAGGCTGAGGCTGGTGGATCACTTGAGGTCAGGAGTTTGAGACCAGTCTGAGCAACACAGCAAAACCCCGTCTCTACTAAAACTATGAAAATTAGCTGGGTGTGGTGGCTCCCATCTGTAATTCCAGCAACTGGGGTGGCTGAGGCAGGAGAATCACTTGAACCTGTGAGGCGGAGGTTGCGGTGAGCTGAGATTGAGCCACTGCACTCCAGCCTGGGCGACAGAGCAAGATTCTATCTCAATTAAAAATAAAACAAAACAAAACAAAAAAAACCCCTCCACATTACATTTGGGACAAGCCTAGTGGGTGACCACATATATAGACCCCACCAGACTAATGAGTCCCCAAGTTCACTCTGGAGGGCCTGCAGTCCAGCAGTGGTGCTGGTGGAGGCCAGAAAGTCCATTGGCTGAAGAAGACATAGCTGCTTGGAGGGTCAGCTAGGAAACACCCACCTGGGGTGGGTGTAGAAGGATTGGGATGAGTTTAGTTTTGATGAACAGGCAGGGGTTGTCAGTGATGGGGAGAGATGGGGCAGGGCGGGAGCCAGGAGAAAGAGAAGGAGGACATTCTACCCAGGGATCAGTGTGTACAAAGGCCTGGTGTGGTGGGCCTGGATGACATGTGAAGATGGAAGTGGGGATGGGAGCACAGAGGCCCCGGGTGAACAGGACGGAGCAGCTGTGCCCGGGCTGGAAAGGAGTTAGGCATCCTTCTGGGACGATCTTCACACCCCATTTGCTGCAGGAGGACATGGGGGACCTGGAAACGGAGGCACACATGGTTGGAGCTTCTCCCACTTCCTTCCTCTCTTCTACCCCTGATAGGGTTTGGCTATGTCCCCACCCAGATCTCATCTTGAATTGTAGCTCCCACAATTCCTGTGTGTTGTGGGAGGCACCTGGTGGGAGATAACTGAATCATGGCGGCAGGTCTTTCCTGTGCTGTTCTTGTGATAGTGAATAAGTCTCAGGAGATCTAATGGTTTTATAAGGGGGAGTTTCCCTTTACAAGTTTTCTCTCTTGCCTGCCACCATGTAAGATGTGCCTTTTGCCTTCTGCCATGATTGTGAGGCCTCCCCAGCCATGTGGAACTGTGAGTCTATTAAACCTCTTTTTCTTTATAAATTTCCCAGTCTCAGGTATGTCTTTATCAGCAGCGTGAAAACAGACTAATACAGTCCCCAACCCCCTCTTTAGTTCCTGCCAGGCAGTCTTCACAATGCACACCTCTACCCATTCTGTGACTTTGCCTGCAAATGTAGCTCCAACCTCATATAGTTTTTCTCTCTTCCAAAAATCTACCCAGTCTTTCAAGATTCAAATCAAGCCCAGTGTTTTTCCAGAGGCCTTTCTAGGACACATGGGTCTTCCGTGTCTTGGCACATCCTGGGCAAGTGTTACTGCATCACCCATTTGCCAAAAACACACGTTGCCTTCCGTGGCTAGCCTGTGGCCCTCAGTCTTATCTCCTTTCTTAGATCGTAAACTCCATGGGTGTGGCCTGTGTCTTGCGTTCCTTTTGTTTTCTTCTCAGCACCTAGAGATATGCATAGAGTAGGAACTCCAGAGACCTTCAGAATGAGTGGAAGCTACAGGTGCAATCAAAAAATAATATCTGGTAACCTGTGAAAGGCTGGGTGCAGTAGGCAGGGAAGGATATCCCCATGGCAGTCTGATCATGCCTGGGATGCTGCCCTTTCAAACTAAAGGGAACAGAACCAGCTGGGGAAGAGCCTACTATGGCTAAAGCGTGACACTCTTTGGGGATTCAACAATCATGCTGTTACTGGCAAAAGCATTTCATGCTTTCCGTGTTTTGTGGGAGGAAATAAGCTCCAGGGAGTATGGGAATTAGCAAATTGTGTACTAGAAACACATGCTTCTCATGGCGGAATCCTGATGCCACTGTGGGATGCAGACAGTTTCACCACCGGAGCAGCGGGCACCAGGGCCAGGATTCTTTACTGGTGGTACCGGATGGCAGAGCACACAGGCCTCTGCAAAGTCTCTTCTGCTGAATATGGGACCGCTGGGTGTTGCAACCAGGAAGGGCGCCCTTTCATCATGCGGTGAGAGCCTCGGGCACTGCTGAGACAGAGCAAGGGAGGAACCAGGTTGTTCCTGCTGCACGAACCAAAGAAAGCTCCACTGCAAGGCCTCTCAAGTCGGCCCACCTGCCCCTAAGCATGGAGGCCTTGGGATGCTCCTGGGTGAGGACATCTGCCCAGAGGGCTCTCCTTCTTAAGCCTGTCTCCTTGGGGTCTGACAGACAACAGTCCCTAATGTGACAGCAGCCCAGCTGGGCTACCTGCTCAAGCCCCCTTCACCCTGAGCTTCTCTTTCTGCCCTTCCCAGCCTCTTCCAGGGGCTTACCACTGCCTCTTAGTGTCCTCTGCACAAGCAAGCAGCTGAGGTGGCCGCTGGGACTTGCAGACTCAAGGCAAGGTCATGTGGTGAAGGCAAGCAGGACCCTACAGCCTCCTCCTGCCTCACCCCAGAAACCCAGGCTTCTTCCTGCAGAAGCCGCACCACTGCAGCTGCGCCAACCTGGTCGTGCAGCCGGCATTTTAGGAGGTGGCTGGACAATGACATGTGCCTCTCTGTTCCAATCAACGCCTATGGCTGGGCCTGTTACCGGGACTGCATGTGTGTGAAGGTTACGGGGTGATCTCTCTGGCATCATCAAGGGATGAAATTCTGCGTTACTGAAATTTCTACATCATTGATTGTTACATAGTTTTTAAAGCATTTGAACCCCCTCTTTAATGGATTCTTAGGCAGAAACTAATACATGAAACAGATAAAAGGTAAGCTTCCCTGCATGAGGGCAAAGAGACGTCCCCCCAATCCCCACCACAGCCATCCCCAGGACACCTCCTGAACCATCTGGGAGCTACTCTTCTACGTAACCTGACTCTTTGCCAAAACTTGAAAAGGCCATTTATAAAAATTCTAAAAAGCATCATTTCCTCCTGCTCTGTGAATGTGAATACAATTTTGACTTTTCTTCATCCCTCAGGGTCATAATTATGATCAACTACAATGCTAGGTTCTGACATATGAATGTCCTTAAGAATACAGAGGTGGGGATTATAAGTTGTTTGCTCTTGCGCTGAATACTCCCCCCTACCCTCATGTTTATTTCCCTTTTCTTTCTTCCTTATAACGTGTTATCAGTGTTCTGTTATCAACTCTGCTCCCCCACCACAACCACCCCCCAGCTTCCCACCTGGAGCTGTATGCTATTGGGAAACACACAACCTTATTACAGTTCTGTCTGAAATAAGATACACAGGCAGTGTGAGGGACAGGAGGACAAAATCAGATACGGAACAGTGATACATATATTTCTTTTTAGACAGAGTCTCATTCTTTTGCCCAGGCTGGAGTGCAGTGGTGCAATCTCAGCTCACTGCAACCTCTGCCTCCTGGGTTCAAGTGATTCTCCTGCCTCAGCCTCCTGAGTAGCTGGGATTACAGGCACCTGCCACCACAACCAGCTAATTTTTTGTATTTTTAATGGAAATGGAGTTTCACCATGTTGGCCAGGCTGGTCTCGAACTCCTTACCTCAAGTGATCCATCCCCCTTGGCCTCCCAAAGTGTAGGGATTATAGGTGTGAGCCACTGCACCCGGCCGGAACAGTGATATTTGAAATCCAAGTTCAGTATTGTTTTCTTCCACACCACACTCTCAGGTCAGTTTTTGTCTGAACTGTCATTTTCTTTTTTGTTCTTTTGAGACAGGGTCTTGTTCTGTCACCCAGCTGGAGGGCAGTGGTGCAATCATGGCTCACTGTAGCCTCAACCTCCTGTGCTCAAGGGATCCTCCCATCTCAGCCTCCCAAATAGCTCAGACTACAGGCACGTGCTACCATGCCCAACTAACTTTGGTATTTTTTGTAGAGACAGTCTCAATATATTGCCCAGGATGGTCTTGAACTTCTGGACCCAAGTGATCCTCCTGCCTTGGCCTCCCAAAGCATTGGGATTATAGGCATCAGTCACCATGCCCACCTTGAAGTATCATTCTTTAGAGTTAGACCTTACACAATGGAAAGACTCGGAGATATTTTCAAGTATAAACAATTTGTTGAACTATCTTACTAATTTTTTGAAAATGAGTAATGCATCCAGCTGGCAAGGTTCACTGGGTGTAAAGCATCATGCATTCTTAATTTGGAAGCTACATTTAACTACAATGATTATTACACATAACAACTGACAGGCAGGGAAAGATGTGTCCTGCAAGATCTGATGCTGTCTCCCAGCAATCGCCAAGTGTGCTGCTTTCCTGCTTGGTTACCAACCAGTAATGAAATCTACTTTTATTTGCAAAGTATAAAGAAAAGTGAGTTCAAAGATTTAACAAATGGCCATCAAAAGAGAAAAGAACTCTAAAGTATGAAAAACGGCCCAAAACAATGTCTAATTTGAATATGGCCTAAGGAGATCACAGTTACCTGGCTTTTCCTGCCTGGCACATTTACTCTGCCTGGAAACTCCCCCGTAGCAGCCAATTACCTTCTCACCATTGGGTAAGAAGCAGACAGACCTGATATTACAAGCACTATTGACTTTGAAAAGATCGGACCTGAATCTCACATGTTAAGAGATTCTTAAAATCTCTTTTTGAGAAAGAGATTAGCCAAAGTACAAGAACAAAGTGGGAGTATTTTTTTTTTTTTTTTTTTTTTAAGAGACTGGGTCTTGCTTTGTCATTCAGGCTGGAGTGCAGTGTTGCTATCTTGGCTCACTGCAACCTCTGGTTCCTGGGCTCAAGCGATCCTCCCACTTCAGCCTCCTGAGTAGCTGGGACTACAGGCATGCACCACCACATCTGGCTGATTTTTGTATTTTTTAGTAGAGATGGGGTTTCACCATGCTTCTCAGGCTGGTCGCAAACTCCTGGGCTCAAGTGATCCTCCTCCTGCCTCTTCCTCCCAAGGTGCTGGGGTTGCAGGCGTGCGCCCCGCGCCAGCCCAAGTGACTGTTACTATGCTGAGATTTGTTAGCATGTCAGACCTCAGAACACTGGGCAGATAAACACCCAGCAGCATAAAGGGTCAATGGACCATACAGATGACTTCCCTGGATTGACATGATCCTAAATGTGATACCCAAGTCTGCCACTTCCTAGTCGTGTGCGCTGAGGACATGCTGAGGATGACACAGAAGAGGAGCTGAACGTCCCTGTGACATCACTGAACCACTGGTGCAATCCTAGAGCCACCTGCCTCATGTTTCTTTGTCACGTAAACACTAAATGGCCTCGTCATTTAAGCGCTTGTAGCTGGGTACTTTACTTCTTGCAGCTAATGTATTCTAATAGATGTATTTTTCCAGAAAGAGGCTGCGGTGAATTCTACTAGGTCTATAAGCTGGGACTCGGAAAGAAATGCCACAGCCACTCAGAAATCCCATTGCCAAAAGTTCTATCAATGAAGACGTGATTGTCCACACTGTGAAACATAGCCATTTCTACTCCTACAGCTACATTCACACTGTGAGAGATTTGGGAACATTTAGGGTGGGGGGCAAGGTCACTTGTGCTGGTGCAGGCATGGCCTTGGATTGGGGAACCTGCTGTTGTTTCATTTTTCAGCTGTGGGCTCTGCCTAATCACTAGCTTTCTTGGGCTGTCATGGCTCTGGATGAATAATTAGCATGGAGTGAGCACTAGCTCGTTTGAGGAATAATCTTCTTAAGAGGTATGCACCTCTCAGATCCATGGCAAACACTCATCATCATCATCATCGTCATCACCACCATCATCACCATCGTCACCACCATCATTGTCACCATCATCACCATTGTCACCCCATCACCATAATCACCAACACCATCATCACCATTGTCACCCCCCTCACCATCATCACCATCATCACCATTGTCACCCCCATCACCATCACCAACGTCATCATCATCACCATCATCACCATCACCATCATCACCATTGTCACCCCCATCACCATCATCACCATCACCATCATCACCATTGTCACCCCCATCACCATCATCACCATCACCACCATCACCATCATCATCATCACCACCATCACCATCATCACCATCACCCCCATCACCATCATCACCATCACCACCATCACCATCATCACCATCACCACCATCACCATCATCACCATCACCACCACCATCACCATCATCATCATCACCACCATCACCATCATCACCATCACCCCCATCACCATCATCACCATCACCACCATCACCATCATCACCATCACCACCATCACCAACATCATCATCATCACCATCACCATCATCACCATCAGGCGTTTCCAGATCCCTGAATATGCTAGATTTCTCTAGAAAACAGATGACTTGCTTCCTAGAGCTTTCATCTGCATTAAGCAATAATCTCCATAAGTTCCTACCAACTGTATATATAGAATTATCAATACTTAAGTCTATGTTATTGTATACTTTAACAAAATCAGCATAGAATCACATTAAAATCAAATAAAAAGCCATCAGCCCTTAAACCACATTCTTCAGTATGGCAGAAACAGTGACAATTTCTACATTTATGACACTGTGGGATAGTCCTCTTTTTTTCCAAATTAAAGTCTACGGCTTTGAGTAGCTAGGTTTCCTTCTTTGGAATTGTTTTTCCATGAAATATGTCAGAAGTAAACATTCCTTGTTAATTATATAGCAAAGTATTTGCCCGGTGGTCAATTATCTAATCATTCTTGTTGAAAGCAATCAAACTGAAGAGCAAAAGTTATGTGCAGATGGTTGGATTCTCATAGCTGTAGGCAAGTACATTTCAGGACTGGTTTAAACAAGAATAAAATTAAGGGCAACTCATTGTAACCAACGACCTTCTGTTTGAAGCATGAAATCATGAATGTGTTGAATATTAGAAATTAACACGATGACTGTATTCAGCTGCAACACATTCCCTGGGTATTTTTAGGGTAGTTTTTGAGAAAGATTCTTAAATTTAAGCAACTGATTTTTTTTTCTTTAAGCTTTAGCTGAGCTATCGTAAGACTTACTGAAACAAGTTTTAGGAAAGAAGCAGTTATGGGAAACCACAAAATACTGGCAGACTTATAGAAACTTTATTCCTTAAATAGATAGCTAGACGTATTAGGATACATAATAGCATTAATAAAATTTAATGAGAGACTTCTGAATTTACAATAGATATATATACATTTCCTGAAAGTAGGTCAGAATACAAGCTAATTAGCCCCATCTGGAGAGAAATTTTGTTCATTACCCACTGAGGCCAATACCCATCTTGCAATTACATGTCAGAAGGGACTGGGTGGGGAGCACACAAGGATTGTGGGTGGCACAGCCATTAGTCCCCTGCATTGGAAAAATCCTCAGGATGAAAGACAGCATAACAGATAATTTGCAGAGAATAACTGAGCGTTCTCATAACAGAGAAATTACAAATCTGGAGACATGTGGTAGGATGCTTGCTAAAGAGCTTGTTGACACAGAGATCTTGCTAAGTGCAGGTTCTGATCCAGAGGTCTGGAGGAAAGCCTGAGAAGGCAATTCTTATTTTATTTTTTTTTTTGAGGCAGGTTCTCTCTCTATCACCCAGGCTGGAGTGCAGTGGTGCAATCACAGCTCACTGCAGCTTCGACCTCCTGGCTCAAGTGATCTTCCCACCTCAGCCTCCCGAGTAGCTAGGACCACAGACACATGCCACCATGCCTGGCTAAATTTTTATTTTTTATAGAGATGGGGTCTTGCTATGTTACCTGAGCAGGTCTCAAACTCTTGAGTTCTAGTGATCTTCTCCCCTTGCCTTCTCAAAATGCTGGGACTACAGGTGTGAGCCACCGTGCACAGCCCTGAGAACGCGGTTCTAACGAGCTCCGGGTGATGCAGGTGCCGTTCATCAGCAGATCTCACTCCGAGTAGCAACGCCTCTCTAAATTATTTGCCCTTTTGTGGGTGTGGCAACTCTGTCAGGCAGAGTTGCCACACCCGCAAAATGCCCTAATGCCATTTCCTACCATGTGGCTGTAGCGGGTTCACTAGGTGGCCAGTGCTTGAAGCAACTTCTGAAATATTTCTGATATATTCAAGAAGGAATCTGGTCAATTGTCAGACTATAGGCCAGGAGTCAGCGCACTCAAATGCCTACAGATGGCTGGGTGTGGTGGCTCATGCCAGCAATCTCAGCACTTTGGGAAGCCTAGGTGGAAGGGTCTCCTGTGCCTAGGAGTTTAAGATCAGCCCTGGCAACACAGCAAGACCACATCTCTACAAAAAATAAAAAACAAAAAAATTAGCTGGGCCGTGGTGGCAGGTGCCTGTAGTCCCAGCTACTTAGGAGGCTGAGGCAGGAGGTTTGCTTGAGCCCAGGGGCTTGAGGCTGCAGTGAGCCACGGTCATGCCACTACACTCTAGCCTAGGTGACAAAGTGAGATCATGTCAAAACAACAACAGCAACAAAAATTTCAAATGCCTACAGATGCCATTGTGTCCTTGCCTAGAGGGATGTGTTGCTTAGTGACCTGGCTGGTTCCAAGCTTGAGACCTCTGCACTGACCACTGTTGCTGCCAGGGATGTCCTGTCCCCGAGATAAGCCCACGTTAGGATTCTGGGTGTTGTTAGGATCTCAGCTCAAATGTCACTTCTCCAAAGGCTCTGACCAGCTAATGACTCTCTCCACCATCACTCTGCTTAATTGTTTCTCCGCCATCTGAAATAAACTAGCTCATTCTCGGTCTCCTTCTTCTAGAACAACAGCTTTGTAATTATAGGGCCCTTCCCCAGCTTGTTTCGCCATTGTTTTATCGCAAGAGCCTACAACAGAGTCATGTCTGGCACAAAGAAGATGTTCAATAAATATTTGCTGACCGAACGAACTGTTTGATTTTTTTTTCCCTAAGTGAAGCCAGGAATAGAATTCCATGGGAAATCTTCCCATTTTTTAATGTTGGCGGTAAATTCAAACACAGCAAACAAATATCCCCAAACGAACTGTATGGACCAAACAAAATACATCTGGAAACAGGTGGTTGTTCTGCATTCCCAGATCAGCCCATCATTCTATTCAGCCACATTAAGTCTTGGCATTGAAGCGGGAATCCACAAAAATCTGATAAACTGGGAAAGGGGATTTGGAGTCTGAAGAAATCACGTTTTGTGTCTCCCCCTTCCCTAGGATGTCCCATGAGTGTGGGAAACACTCAACTCTACTGAGCTAAAGTTCCTTTCTGATAAAGACGGGAGTCCCCCACCTCCAGGGTTGCTTTGGGAATAATGGTGTAAAATGTTGGTTTATAGGAATACCTGTTTTTCTAATGGATAAGCTCAGCTAAGAATGAATAGATAAAAACATTGTTTTTTCAGGCCAGGGGCAGTGGCTCACGCCTGTAATCCCAGCACTTTGGGAGGCTGAGGCAGGCAGATCACGAGGTCAGGAGATCGAGACCATCCTGGCTAACACGGTGAAACCCCGTTTCTACTAAAAAATACAAAAAATTAGCTTGGCGTGGTGGCCGGTGCCTGTAGTCCCAGCTACTCAGGAGGCTGAGGCAGGAAAATGGTGTGAACCCGGGAGGCGGAGCTTGCAGTGAGTGGAGATCACACCACTACACTCCAGCCTGGGTGACAGAGCAAGACTCCGTCTCAAAAAAAAACAAAAACAAAAACAAAAAAACATTTTTTTTCCCTAAAGGATCTAAGTTGTGATCCCATTTTTCTTCCCCTTCAGTTTAGGAAAACTTCAAACTGCATACTGGAAATGGCTGGGCTGCCAGATACAAATACGTGTACATGGCGTACTGCAGGGACAAGCCAGACACTTCTGTGGAAGCTTCTAGTGAAGGACATTCTGCACATGCCGGGTGTATTCAGGGTGTGTGTGTGTGTGTGTGTGTGTGTGTGTGTGTGCATGTGTGTGCGTAAAAATAATTTTAAAGGGGTGATTCAAAGGAAGGGGCAAAAAGAACCACGATGGCCTGGTGTGGTGGCTCACGCCTGTAATCCCAGCACTTTGGGAGGCCGAGGTGGGTGGATCATGAGGTCAGGAGATGGAGACCATCGTGGCCAATGTGGTGAAACCCCATCTCTACTAAAAATACAAAAAGTAGCTGGGCATGGTGGCACATGCCTATAATCCCAGCTATTCGGGAGGCTGAGGCAGGAGAATCGCTTGAACCAGGGAGTCAGAGGTTGCAGTGAGCTGAGATAGTGCCACTGCACTCCAGCCTGGTGACAGAGCAAGACTCCGTCTCACCAAAAAAAAAAAAGAACCACGACATCAAAAATGTGATACATGGCTGGAGTGTACTAGGTGCTTTACGTAAATGATCACACTTAGGTCTTATGCAACCTTGGAAGGGAGATTTTACAGATCTCATATTTGAGGCCAGAAGCATTAGGTCCAGAGACATTAGTAATTTGCCCAAGGACGGGCCCTCTCCTAACATTTACAGAACTTGAGAAGTTTCAGGCGTGATGAAGGCACAAAACTACATTCGAAAGGAAAAAAAAAACATACAAAGTGTTGATCTTCTTTTAAAAAATCATGTGTTAAGTGAGTGCTAACATAAAAGAGATTATAGCTCATACAAAAGTATAAAACCAAAACAAACTTACGAAAGAAACAAGAAACAAAGCTACAGTTTCAAAATAAATTTCGAATTAAAAACATCAACTTAATGGTGTACCTGATGACATATTGTTACCCGTTGAGGGTAGCTGCCCAGGTTCTTGGCGTTTTGAACAAAGAATTGGACAAAACGCACAAGCAAAGCAGCCAAAGCAGAAATTTATTTTAAACGAGAGTACACTCCACAGACTGGCAGAGGCTACAGCAAGAGGCTCGGGAACATTGGTTACAGAATGTTCTGAGGTTTAAATACCCTATAGCAGTTTCGTATTGGCTCACTCTAGTAGCCCATGAGCAGTCTCTTTGGTTACGGGAGGGGAAAAGTAGCCTAGCGACCAGTCTGATTGGCTGCAGGAGGGGACCGATCAGATGTACTTTTCTTTTTTTTTTTTTGAGACGGAGTCTTGCTCTGTCGCCCAGGCTGAAGTGCAGTGGCGCGATCTTGGCTCACTGCAAGCTCTGCCTCTGGGGTTCACGCCATTCTCTTGCCTCTGCCTCCCGAGTAGCTGGGACTACAGGCACCCACCACCACGCCCGGCTAATTTTTATTTATTTTTTGTATTTTTAGTAGAGACGGGGTTTCACTGTGTTAGCCAGGATGGTCTCGATCTCCTGACCTCGTGATCCGCCTGCCTCGGCCCCCCAGAGTGCTGGGATTACAGGCGTGAGCCACCGTGCCGGGCCGATCAGAGGTACTTTTCATTTTCCAACTGCCAGGCAGAAAAAGGAGGGGTTAAAAAGTAGCCCCTATGCCGGGCGTGGTGTCTCACGCCTGTAATCTCTGCACTTTGGGAGGTCCAGGAGGGCCGATTACCTGAGGACAGGAGTTTGAGATCGGCCTGGCCAATATGGCCAAACCTCGTCTCTACTAAAAATACAAAAATTAGCTGGGCAGGCGCCTACAATACCAGCTACTTGGGAGGCTGAGACAGGAGAATCGCTTGAACCTGGGAGGCAGAGGTTGCAGTGGGCCGAGATTGCGCCACTGCACTCCAGCCTGGGAGACAGAGCGAGACTCTGTCTCAAAAAAAAAAAAAAAAAAAAAAAAAAAACCTCTGATATCCAGTCAGCTGAGTCGGCCTTAGGTTCTCTACCTTCAGACCCAATTCTCCTGCCTCAATATTACTGAACTGAACTTGTCACTTGCAACATACATACACATGACATCCATGGCTAGGTGGGGCTTCTTTCGAGCTTGGCATGACTATGATTCAATTCTTCCACTACCTTTCTCAAACTGAACTGTAAAACTTCCCATCTCTCAACATACTTTAATTCCACCTGTCCTTATTATGCTGGTGTTGTATCATTTGTATATTACATTTACCATGGTTCATTCTCATTTGTCCTATTCTATCCAACAGTGTGTTCATAAATGCAGACTCAGGCAATAACATTATGTGATCGTTTTAAATTCTGTATTGAATTCAGATGATGCAGAATATTTTCATGTTAAGTTGTAAAAGATCATGATCAAACCCCAAACTCCAAATTTGAAAATCCTTGCAGATGATTCCCAGGCCTCAAAGAAGCGGTCTGGATCTACAGGCTTCAGTGGGAAACGCTGAATCTCACTGGGGAAACCTTGGATACCTGGAACCTTCATCTCTCCCCAGTACCCATCCTCGGGGTCCTCACCTACAAGGTGAGGATAACACAGGTTGCTGGAAAGAGCCACGGTGTTCAGCCAGGAGATAGGAGTGAGCAGAGCCAGGGAGCACATTAGGCTCACACACTAGACGAACACTCGCTTTGGACATCAGAGACTTACGTTCCTGCTGTACCCAAATTAAAAGGCACCACTTATTGTGAACTTTAAAGTTATTTGGAAGTTCAATCCCAAACAATGATGTTTCCAAATATGGAACAGCTGGTCAGGTATGGGCCCCGACCAATCAGACTGGATGGCAGGGCCATTCCAGCTAAATAGCAACCTTGGGTGAGACTGGGATGTTAAATTTAAAAACAGTAAGGCTTTCCTGTACCTGTCCTTTTATATCATGCTTCCAAAAAAAAAAAAAAAATCACACACTGCATATGGGCTAAATAATAGCAGCGATGATGATGATAAGAGCGGCAAACACATACGGAGGGTTTTCCAAGCGCCAGGCTCTGTGGTAGGCACTCTCCACTCACAGCAATTCTATGAGGGAGGGGCTGGGGCTATTATGATCCCCATTTTATAGAGGAGAAAACTGAAGCCCAGAGACGAAAAAGGACTTGCTCAAGACCACACAACGAGTCACCAGAGGAGGAGCCGGCATTCAAGACCAAGCCGTCTCGGTGGCTGGGCTGCACACTGCCTCTATCCTGTTCACGAATGCTATCAGCTGTGTCTCATCCAGTGCAATATTCACATCTATCAATAATATTCTACCTTCTAATTACCCACTCAAGTGGAGGCAACTGAAACCAGGTGATACTTAAAAGTACTGAATTCTGAAATATAGTGGCTTTACTTTCCTAGTTCTTTTTCACCCAGGTTAATATTAGAATGATTGTGTTAGATGCTGTCCTTAAAATCCAGGCCAGACTGGGCGTGGTGGCTCACTGCCTGTAATCCCAGCACTTTGGGAGGCTGAGGCAGGAGGATCACTTGAGGCCAGAAGTTTGAGACCACGCTGGCCAACATGGTGATACCCCCATCTCCACTAAAAATACAAAAATATGCTGGGTGTGGTGGCACTTGCCTGTAGTCCTAGCTACTTGGGAGGCTGAGGCAGGAGAACCGCTTGAACCTGGGAGGCAGAGTGAGACTCTGACTTGAAAAAGAAAATCCAGGCCAAATAGCAGCAAACTAAGAGGGCCTTGAGGCTCCTGGGTGATGGGGAAAGCCCGCAGGAAGACACAAATTTGCCACAGATAATCCACAAAGTGAATACTCCATAAGTGGTAACTAAGAATGAAGTGTAAAATAAAACCTCTACAACTCCAAGATCACAAAAGCAGGCTATACCAAGACGGGAAATTCTAGTTCTACATAAAATGATACGTTAAGAGACCTAAGTCCCTAAGAATGGGGTTTTTAAACAAAAGTGCCCCCTGAACCCGATCATACTAGAACAAATGTGATGCTATTATTTTATGAAAGTTCTCATTTTGGGGGGAGACAAACACAAAAGGCTTAATGATTCCTAGGAATGGATTGATAATACAAGATTGTTTTTTGAGTTGCTAGGCAACACTGAAAAACAAATGTCGATGTTCTGAGATCACAGCTTGGTTGTTCTCCCATGGGCAGGACCAGTGCTACCCGGCCTTCCTGCACTCCATTGGAGAACAGGAGTGGTACAGAGCCACTGCGATGCTGAGTCCACAGTGGCAACAGACACCAACTGGCATCTCCATGAAAAGTCACAACTGACCGCCTGGCTGCCAAGATCTTTGGTGAGACAAAGTTTTCACTGAACTGTCATCACACCCAAACAAGTCCCATGCTCTCCGGGTTCTTTGCTATCTGTGATCACTTCAATCGCTTTTTTTTTTTGCAGGTACATTACCCCCTTTTCCCCTACCGGTCTCATTAAAGCCCCATTCACCCCTAAGAGTGATTTTGACATCTGGGAAAGTACAGACACTTTTCCTGAGAGTTATTTCTTTATTTCTAAGCCATAGCCTTGACTCTGAATATTTCCACTGTAAAAAGGCCTATTTCCAATAACAGCTTTCTTAGGGATATGTTGATATTACCTTAGGTAAGTTGAATTCCTCCTTTGCTGAATGCCCTGAACTACGGCATCTATTCTTTTTCAAAAAATAAAAGATGATGCCCAAGGTTCTAAAATCACGTCACACATCTACGCACAGACTTGGTAAAGAAATGAACTCCCTTCTTTCATTCTAATGTTTGGGGGCACAGTGTAGTACTGTTTATCCCTATAATCCAATCACCCACCTCAGTATTCCAATCTGGGTTACTTCACCTAGTCATGTGGCTTGTGATATATAGAGACAAAGATAAGCTAATATTGTAATAATGATTTCACTGAAGACTATTTTTTAAAGAGCAGATTTAGGTTCGCGGCAAAACTGAAAGGAAGGTGCAGATATCCCACATACAGCCCAGACTCCCTCTTGATCAATATCCCCTACCAGAGAGGTGCCTTCGCTACAATTGATGAGCCTGCATTCACATGACATTATCACCCAAAGCTCATCATTTCCATGTTCAATAATAGTTTCATTTTCTTTACGTTGTAAACATAATTTTGTGCTTTAAGAACTCCCACTCTTTGCCGCCCTTCCCCCCCACCCCCAATTAAAAACCCAATGAACCTGAAAAACAATCTTAGATCTGTGTTTTAAATGAGTCTCCACCTTCAAGGGCAAGTTGTCCGTCACTTAGGTAAAAGGACTAATTAAATGAGCTTGTCATAGCCGTAACATTCACCGTCTGAAGTGCAGACGAATCTACTACAGGCCAATTGTGAGTGGGTATTCCTGAGAGCCTGACACGAATGCATCGTACGTGGTAAGAGGCTGGTTCAGTAACCACCATTTCTATAGCAACCCCCACACACTCTCAGGCTGTGTTTTGAAGAGGCAGTGAAAACTGGATTCTACAATGTAGCTTCACTCTTAGAATATGCTTTTATTTCTATCATCTCATTAGAATGAGAGTATCCAAATCATATAATCCAGGTTGCCATTAAACAGGAGAAACTTATCAAATACAGGATCCGTAAATCTTTATTTATTCTTTTTGCCACTTGATGTCCATCGCTTTAAATTCAAACCACTGACCTGGTTTGCCTGTGACCATTCCCCAGGGCAACAAGTCAGATGTCCGTCTGACAACCTGTACATCAGACAGCCATCTGCTGCCCCAGTTACAGGATAAAGAAAGGGTAAACGTCTGTAAAATAGAGCTGACATAATCATCTCTTACTGTCCAGAAAGGCTCAGCTAAGAGGCATTCGCTATGACTAACAAAACTTCCTTTGACAGACATGGGAAGGAAAACTGCTTCTTTCAAAGGTCAAATTGGCCACTGCACAATAAATATTCACTTTATTTATTTATTTATTTTTATTTTTATTTTTTTTTGAGACAGTCTCACTCTGTCGCCCAGGCTGGAGTGCAATGGTACAATCCTGGCTCACTGCAACCTCCACTTCCCAGGTTCAAGGGATTCTCAGCCTCCCAAGAAGCTGGGATTAGAGGCACCCACCACCACACCCGGCTCCAGCTAATTTTTGTATTTTTAGTAGAGATGGGGTTTCACTATGTTGACCAGGCTGGCCTCAAACTCTTGACCTCAAGTGATCTGCCCACCTTGGCCTCCCAAAGTGCTGGGATTACAGGTGTAAGCCACTGTGCCTGGCTACAAATTCATTTTAACCCATTCCCCTCACATACATCTTGACACCCGGGACACAGAGAGGGCACAATTGGATCATTACATATTCCGCTGATTCTTTAAGGAAAAGAGATCCACTAAATAGAGTGCTCCTTCGCTCTACGAATCACAGCATTTTAACAAAATAGCTTTAACAAAACATGTCAATGTGACAAAAGTCTCGATTCCAGTATGGGTGGAATATCCTTTATCCAAGATGCTTGGGACCAGAAGTGTTTTGGATTTTGGAATATTTGCATTATACTTACCTGCTGAACATACTTAATCTGAAAATCCAAAATCCAAAATGCTCCAGTGAGCATTGCCTTTGGGCATGACCTTTGAGTATCATGATGGACCTTAAAAAGTTTTGGATTTTGGGGCATTTCAAACCTTGGATTTTTGGATTTGAGATGCTCAACTTATATATGCAAGTCGTGCTTCTTAAAAAATTTATTTTAGGCTGGGCGTGGTAGCTCATGCCTGTAATCCCAGCACTTTGGGAGGCCGAGGCAGAGGCGGATCACTTGAGGTCGGGAGTTCGAGACCAGCCTGGTCAACATGGTGAAACCCCATCTCTACTAAAAATACAAAAATTAGCCTGGTGTGGTGGCACACACCTGTAGTCCCAGCTAGCTGGGAGGCTGAGGCCAGAGAATCACTTGAACCCAGGAGGCAGAGGTTGCGGTGAGCTGAGATTGTGCTACTGTACTCCAGCCTGGGTGACAGAGCGAGACACCATCTCACACACACACACATAAAATTATTTTTATTGAGGGTCCATATAGCAATTAGCCAACTCATGCTGTTGTAACATGCTAAACAAATTCAATGTTATTTGTATTCTAAGATGGTGTTAATCTAGTTGATCACCTTCTAATGAATATATAGGTTGAAATATGAAGATGCCAATTTCAAGAATGGGAAATTCTTTGCTTGTTCCAAAAGAAAAAAATTAAAAGACAACTGTGAAAAACGGCAGCATCAAAAATTGATCCCACTCTCACGGGGTTTGAAAGAGAGCATCTCTAGTTCTCTCTCCTAAGAGTAAACTTTCAATTTCCTGGCAGTCAAGGATTAAAGTGTGTGAGTTAGAGTTAAAACATGGATATACTGAGTTAGTGTTAAAACGTGATTTTGAGGCAGGGTGGTGGCTCACAGTCGTTGTAATCCCAGTGACTTGGGAGGCTGAGTTGGGAGGATCACTTGAGGGCAGGAGTCTGAGACCAGTCTGGGCAACACAGCAAGACCCTATCTCTACAAAAAAAAAATTTACAAATTAGCTGGGCATGCTGGCACACACCTGTCGTACCAGCTACTCAGGAAGCTGAGGTAGGAGGATCTCCTGAGCCCAGGAGTTCTAGCTCCGATTGTACCATTGCACTGCAGCCTGGGTGACAGAGCAGGACCCCTTCTTTAAACAAACAAACAAACAAACAAACAAACACAAACAAACAAAAACTACCATGTGATTGTATCATTTGAACAGAAGTCCCATCAAACCATAAAATAATTTCATCTTTCTTTACAGAGTTTGAGGTCTGGCCCTACAATGAAGGTGCTGTCACTCTGAGTATCAGTTGTCAACTCTGGCAAAATACAGGGGAGCTGTCAGCTAACAGGAAATATGGACATTGGGGCTGTCTGGGCACCCCAGTTTGCTCCTGTAGAGTGTGGAATACACTGGCACTGTAATATTAGAATGGAAAGAACTTCTGGAAGGCATTTAGACCAGAGGTCACAATTTTTTTTAAATTTTTTTATTTTTTTCTGTAAGAGGACAGATAGTAAATATTTTTGGTTTGTGGGGATATAAGTTTCTGTTGCAATGATTCAACCCTGCGTTGTAGTGCAAAAGCACTCACAGACAATATGCCAGCAGATGGGCCTGGCAAGGTTCCAGTGAAACTTTATTTAGGGATGCTTACGTATAAATTTCATGTAATTTTCGACCCATGAGATATTCTCCTTTTGATTCATTTCCCCCATATTTATTGACGTACAGTTGAAAAACAAAAATTTTATGTACTTAAGATGTCTGACCTGATGTTTTGATATATACATCAAGCTAATTAACATATCCATCACTTTACAGTTACCATTGTTTTTTCATCTTCTTTCTCTTGGTGGTGAGAACACTTTGAATCCACCCTCTTAGTAAATTTTAAGTATACAGTACAGTCCTATTAACAACAGTTAGCAGGCTTTGCATTAAGTCTCTGGAGCTTAATCATCCTGAAGAACTAAAACTTTGTACCCCTTGATCAACATTCCCCCATTTGATTTTTTTCTTTAATCATTTAAAAATGTAAAAATGATTCTTAGCTTTCAGGCCACAGTTGGCCAAACCCAATTTAGATGAAAAATTATTAATAGATTCACAAGTTGCTATCTGTGCCATTTCTGGCTGTTAAACAATTTGGAATTGGCAGTTATTTTGATTTACCTCAAAAATAGATAATTTAAAGTATTAAACTATTTGAGATGATCGATTACTGTAATCATAAATAGCAGCTAATTATTAAATTGTTTTATGTGCTTAAGATGTGTTGGCCCATTCCCCATTTTTTTCCTGATCTAATACCGTCTTTAGATTTTTTATTTAACTAAAATATTTTAATTTCTACTTAGATAATATTACAATTAATGTAATAGCAACAAAAGTCTTATGAAATATGCAGGCTTCTATTGAGTATAATAAGTGAAAAAACATATGGTTTCTTTGAAATGTCCATCTTAAAGTTTTCAGAAAACATTTTAATTCATTTGGTTATTTTTGAATGACTATCCACAAACGTTGGCTTTTTTCTGCATACATGCAATCTGTTACAACCAGGAATTTGGCAGTTACATTTTTCATAGTAAATGTGAAGTTAAAAAGACCATTTCGGCCGGGCGCGTTGGCTCACGCCTATAATCCCAGCTCTTTGGGAGGCTGAGATGGATCACTTGAGGCCAGGAATTTGAGACCAGCCCGGGCAACATGGTGAGACCTTGTGTCTACGGAAAATAAACAATAAAACAAATTAGCCAGGTGTGGTGGTGTGTGCCTGTCGTCCCAGCTACTCAGGGGGCTGAGGTGGGAGGATTGCTTGAGCTTGGGAGGTCGAGGCTGCAGTGATCTGTGACTGCACCACTGCATGCCAGTCTGGCTGACAGTGCAGGACTCCGTCTCAAAAAAAAAAGGAAGCGGAAATAGGTCAACTTCACAATGAAGATTCCCAATGTACTGTCATGGTTATTTTTTCAGAGAGGAAACAGAGAATGGGCTAACTTATATTTCAGAGGCTTCCTAACAATGCACACACCTCTGTTTTCACCAATTTCTGTATTGTATTCATTTCCTATTGCTGCTATAAAAAACATTACCACAAATAATAGGGTCTTAAAACAGCACAGATTTACTTTCTTATACTCCTGGAGGTCAGAGGTCCAAAACCAGTTTCTCTGGTCTCAAGTCAAGGAGTCCACAGGGCCGGTTTCTCCTGGAGGCTCAGAAGGGAGAATCCCTTGCTTGCTGATTTTGGCTTCCAGTGGGTGCCTGTATTCCTTGGCTTGGGTCCCCTTCTCGCATTTCCAAAGTGCATGGCTCCGGCCTGCGCTCCCATCCTCACACTGCCGTCTCCTAATCTGATTCTGGCTCCTCTTGCATCCTGCTCATAAGGGCCCTTGTGATGGCCGTGGGCCCACCCAGAAAGTCCATGAGAATCACCCCATCTCCAGATTCTTCATCACTTCCACCAAGTCCCTTGACCGTATAAGGTAATATCCACAGGGCCTGGAGATTAGGATGCAGAGATAGTTCCATCTGCCATGGACATCAAAAACTTCTTTAAGTTTGTTATTTGTGAACTGTATATAAAGTCCACCGAGGAAAGCAAGGATGCTGCTTTCATACACCTGTGCCATATAGTTACAGTGCACACAACCCATACAGGAATCCCTAGGGAAGGCTTCCTTATATTAGGAGCCCCAGCCTTATTCCTCCATATTCAAATATACTCATTAAAAAAGAGAAGGCAAAAATGAGAAGCAAAAAATAAACAGCAGGGATGGAGGCTCCAAGATAGAAAAAAAATCCAATAGAACTGTCCTCCCTCTAAACAAGAGCTTAAACATCATCCTTTTATAACGTGTACATATACATATATACATAAAGGTAAATTCTATGTATACAGTCAATGTATACATTGACTGAGCAGCTCACCGCAAGCTCTGCCTCCCGGGTTTACTTACGCCATTCTCCTGTCTCAGCCTCCTGAGTAGCTGGGACTACAGGCGCCCGCCACCACACCCGGCTAATTTTTTGTATTTTTAGTAGAGACGAGGTTTCACCGTGTTAGCCAGGATGGTCTTGATCTCCTAACCTCGTGATCTGCCCACCTTGGCCTCCCAAAGTGCTGGGATTACAGGCATATCAGAGTATCTTAAATTGCCTTTTAAAGATATCTAAATTGGCTAGACATGGTAGCTCACGCCTGTCATCCCACGACTGTGGGAAGCTGAGGTGGGTGGATCACTTGAGCTCAGGAGTTCGAGACCACCTAGGCAACATAGTGAAACCCCATCTTTACTAAAAAAATACAAAAATTAGCCTGGGGTGGTGGTGGGCACCTGTAATCCCAGCTACTTGGGAGGCTGAGGCACTAGAATCACTTGAACCTGGGAGGCGGAGGTTGTAGTGAGCTGAGATCTTGCCACAGCACGCCAGCTTGGGCGACAGAGTGAGACTCCGTCTCAAAAAAGCCCCCCAAATTAGCTAGGCCTGGTGACCACCCTTGTACTCCCAGTTCTTCAGGGGGCTGAGGTGGGAGGATTGCTTCAGCTCTTGAGATAGAGACTGTAGTGAGCTATGATCACACCATTGCACTCTAGCCTGGGTGACAGAGGGAGACCCTGTCTCTTAAAAACAAAAGAAAACAAAAAACCCTAAAATTATTCTCATGTGATTCAACCATTCAACAGACATTTTAGTTGGGTACCTAGCATTATGCCAGAAACTGTTATTGATCACAAGCATTCAGAATAAATAGACTTGGTGAGGGCATAGGGAGTAACTGGTACCCACACAGACTTGGTGAAGGTGCAGGGAGTGGCTGGTACCTGCACAGACTCGGTGAGGGTGCAGGGAGTAACAGGTCCCCGCACAGACTCAGGGAGGGCACAGGGAGTAACTGGCACCCGCATACCGTGCCGTTCAAGCTGATAGGACCATTGCAACGTGCACAATGTGCTCAGGATGAGGCCGGGGAGGAGACTGGAAAGGATCGGCTGTGCTCGTGAAAGTGACAAGCTGTCATTTACTTTTGTGATGACTAATTTTGTCTGACAACATGGCTAGGCCACAGTCCCCAGAAATGTGGTTAAATATGTCCAGATGTGACTGGGGAGGTATTTTGTTTAGAAGAGATAAACTGTTCAGCCAGTTGACTTTGCTTTTTTTTTTCTTATTTATTTATTTATTTTTTGAGACGGTGTCTCACTCTGTCATCCAAGCTGGAGTGTGGGGACGCTATCTTGGCCCACCTCAACCTCCACATCCTGGGTTTAAGTGATTCTCCTGCCTCAGCCTCTGGCGTAGCTGGGATTATAGGCATGCACCACCACGCCCAGCTAATTTTTTGTATTTTTAGTAAAGATGGGGTTTCACCATATTGGCTAGGCTGGTCTCAAACTCTTGACCTCAGGTGATCTGCCTGTCTTGGCCTCCCAAAGTGCTGGTATTACAGGCATGAGCCATGGTGCCCGGCCCAATCTGTTGACTTTGAGTGAAGCAGATCACTCTCCACAGTGAGGGAGGGCCTCATCTCATCAGCCTGCCTTGCAATTTTGGACTTGCCAGCCTTCCCAATTGTGTGAGCCATTCCTTAAAATCAATCTCTCCAAATATACATATATCTCCTATTGGCTCTGTTTCTTTAGAGAATCCTAATACACTCATTATAACAACAGTGGGTACTATTATTATTGCCATTTCACAGTGGAAGAAACTAGATCAGAAAGGCTAAGTAACTTGGCCAGGGCCACACAGCCAGTGGGTGGCAGAGCTGGCATTCCACACCACTGTGCCCCCCAGACTCCCTGCTCTTAACCACACTCTCCGCTGCTTCTCAGTGCATTGACCTGGGTGCGCTTCAGCGCCCCCTGGGAGGGCTACAGGGGACAGGCAGACCATACAAGGGGGTGTATATTCATATCTCTTACAAATGCAAATAGAGGTAAGTAATTTGCCCAAGGTGGGACTCACAGTTTTATAAGTAGCAGAACCCAGGTTTTCAGGAAACAAAACACAAACTCAAAGCTCTTTCCATTCTCTTGCCCACTTCCTCTGTGTTTTTCTTTATCCATTTTCTTCCTCCCTTTAGAATTCCGGCATTCTTCAGAGACTCTTGGTCACACATCCCTCAGGCTACTCCCTCCTGGAGGCACAGTGTACCTCAGGTCCCCACCATGACCTTGATGCCCCCCAAATTATCAGGCTCACAGAGAACACACACCATCAATAAAGTGCCCGTCTCGCTTACTGCAGGATATGTGAACAGATTATCAGGCTCTCAGAGAACACACACCATCAATGAAGTGCCCGTCTTGCTTACTGCAGGATATGTGAACAGACAGCATCACAATCCACTTAACAATATCAAGTTTACTGTGGCTGGTAAAATCAATGCATTCCACACAAATAATTACAGTGTCTCTATTAATTATTTGGAAAGTAAAAATAAGACAAAACAAAAATCCCCTCCAAAAGCCCAACAGGCGTTTCTTTTAAAATATAATTCCTAGAACTCTGTTTTAACTGATTCGAGGAATTAGATATCTTTGAAAATATACTGATATCAAAAATCTCCCAATTATCTTCATGCATGGTCTAACAGTTTTAAATTCTGAACTGGCTTATTTGAAAACTGGTATTTTCTTTTTTCGAGACAGTCTTGCTCTGTCATCCAGGCTGGAGTGCAGTGATGCGATCTTGGCTCACTGCAACCTCTGCCTCCCAGGTTCAAGGGATCCTCCCAACTTAGCCTCCCAAGTAGCTGGGACTATGGACATGTACCACCACAGCTGGCTAATTTTTTGTATTTTTAGTAGAGATAGGGTTTCACCATGTTGGCCAGGTTGGTCTCAAACTCCTGACCACAAGTGATCTGCCCGCCTTGCCTCCCAAAGTGCTGGGATTATAGGTGTGAGCCACCGTGCCCAGCAGCAAATTGATATTTTCAAGCTTGACTTTCAGGGCACTAGGAAGCAAAGGGGGGTAAGAGGCCCCACGCTGCCAAGACCCTCAGCCCGAGCACATGCTCGTGGGCTGGTATCATGAGTGCAAACCAATACAACTGTCTGGAGGGAAATCTGGAAATATGTTTTAAAAGTTTTAGAATTTTGTACATTTTGTAACTCAGCAATTCTTCTAAAATGTCATCCTAAGGAAATAACCAAGGCTGTGCATAAAGATTTAGCTAGAAAGATATTTTCTACAGCATTGGTTAGAATAGTAACATTTTTTTCTAATTGCAGGGGATTGATGAACCAAAGTGAAGTATGATATATCCACAGGGTGGAATACTATGGACTTATTAAAATTGACATGGCAGAATAATGATGCTATGGAAAGATGTTCATGCTGTACAAATGTATTTTTATGTATATATTATTGGTTGATTGAGTGAGTGAGTGGTCTCGTTCTGTTGCCTAGGAGGTGCAGTGGCTCGATCATAGCGACATCACTCACTGTGACTTTGAATTCCTGGGCTCAAGCAATCCTCCCGCCTCAGCCTCCCAAAGTGTTGGGATTTCAGGTGTGAGCCACTGCACCCAAACAGTACCCAGCACATGATCTCATTTCTGCTAAATATGCTTTGTAGAAGGCAACCTCTCAGATAGCCAGCCCCAAGTGACCCCTGCCTCCTGGTATTCACTCCCCTGTATAGTCTACTCTCAGTGCTGGTCTATACCAGTGTGGGTCTGTGTGACCAACAGCCTAATGGAAAGAAATGATGGTATGCTGCTTTTGGGATTAGGTTACAAAAGACCATGACCTCAATCTGGGCACTTGGGCTTTTAAAAGGCTGGTCTCAGACTCTTGGCCTCAAGTGAACCACCCGCCTCAGCCTCCCAAAGTGCTGGGATTACAGGTGTCAGCCACCACACCCAGCCTACTATATCATTTTTATTTACTCTTGGATCATTTGCTCAGGGGAAAGCAAACTACCGTGTAGTAAGCAGCTCTATGGAGGGTCCCACGTGGTAAGGAGGTAAGGCCTCTGGTCAACAGCCGGCAAGGAAGTGAGGTCTGCCTTCAGCCCTGTGAGTCACACTCATTAGCCCCAGCTGAACACTGCTGGAGAGGACCACAGCCTTGACTCACAGCTTGACAGCCGCCTTGTAAGAGACTCTGAGCCCTACCACCCAGCTCGGCTGTACCTGGATTCCTGACCCCCAGAAACTCTGAGATACTGGAGCTCACTGTTGTTTTAAGCAGCTAACTTTTAGGGTGGTGTTACACAGCAGTTGATAACTAATACCTACGTGCACTGTGAAAGCCCTAGAAGGACAGAATTCAAGATATATTAGTGGTTTTCTCTAGGTGGTGAGACTTATGGGTAATTTTTATTTTCTTTGTTTTGTACAGTTTTGGCAAATGTTTGTCCTTTTTCAGAAAACAGAAAAAAAAAATACCACACATGACCAAGAGCAACCATATGACCTTCTGATGAATAAAAGGATGAAGATTAGGAGAGCCAGTTTTAGCTCTAATAACCTTTACAGATTCTTTTCAAGTAAATTAGGTTAAATGTGCAAAACAAAAACAAATATGAAAACTAACAAAAAATGAGTTCCCAAGAGAGGGTCTGAATGGCACGGGGAAGGGTGCCGTCCCCATGAGAAACCACACAATGCAATGTGAGCAGCAGCATTCACTGACTTCAAGGAAAGGAGACTTCCATGAGCTTCTTAGAAGGAAAACCAAACAGTAACGAAGCCATCTGGTAGCCGATTGTCGGCACAGAACTCTTGCTTACCCAGCTTCTGGTCAAACCGCCACGCCGCGACATAGGCATTGTGCCTCAGGCTGCTCTGCGTGGCCAGGGGCACAGTGACATAGATGGGACCATCCACCAGCACCGGCGTTCCATTACTGCTCAGCAAGTGGACGCTGACGGCTGTGACTGGGGTCAGGTCATGCCTGGTGCTGTTTCCTAGAAGGAAGAGGCATTTTCCATCATTTGCATGCAAAGTACCCATGTGGGGCTGTGGAAACCTTTGCAAAAAAATAGTCGCAGCTACCATTACCTCCTATATGCCAGGGACTGCATGAAGCACTTTACATACATAATCCTCACCACAACCCAGTAAGGCAGGTAAAATCGTCATTTTTACACACAAAGAAACAGGCTCAGAGAGAGTAGTAATGGTAGGTGGCCTAAGGGCATACACTCAGTATGGGCTGAGCTGGAATCTAGGCTCAGGTTTTCTTTTTTCTTTTTTTTTTTTTTTTGAGATGAAGTCTCATTCCGTTGCCCAGGCTGGAGTGCGATGGCACAATCTCAGCTCACTGTAACCTCCACCTCCTGGGTTCAAGCGATCCTCCTGCCTCAGCCTCCCAAGTAGCCGGTATTACAGGCTTCCACTACCCTGATGGATAATTTTTGTATTTTTAGTGAAGATGGGGTTTTGCCATATTGGCCAGGCTGGTCTCAAACTCCTGACCTCAGGTGATCTGCCTGCCTTGGCAATCCCAGGCCTGTGCTGGGATTATAGACTTAAGCCACTGTGCCCGGTCAGGCTTGCTATTTTTCATTATTGTGTTTTGCTTTCAAAAACGATCTCAAAAGAGAAGGATTTTTCTATAATGTGAGACAAAGGTGTAAGTGGAAATCACCGGAAATAACTTTTACACAAAGTGAGCCCCATGCACATGTTAATTACTTGGCAGATAACCTTAATAAAACCAAATGTTTTAGAGCAGAGGCTGCTTTTTTTTTAACATAGCAAATTTCTTCAAGGATTGCTTCAAAAATATTAACTTCTGCTAAAAAGTATGCTATTGAGGACTGGACTTGAAATATTTATGAGTTATTTTAATTGCCATTGTTATTTTGATCTGTTTAAAAGGACCTCAGTATACCAATTATTTTCCATTAAAGGCCTTTGGTCCAAGCCAAAGCTTTAATGACTGCCTACAGATAAATTAGAGAATGCTTATGAGACCGATATATTTATGCACTCAAGCAATCCATTTTACATTTTCCTCTAGTGAAATACAATATCGCACAAACTGTGTTGTCATAATTTTACATATTTCTTTGAGCACAATGACAAAAACACAGCGATAAAAAATTTAAGCTGCATTAAAATACAATCTATAGGACTTTTTATTCAGCTACTTATATACTTACCTACCTACCAAACTGAGCTGATGTAAACCTCCAATCTGGTCTACATTTAAACATTTAAAGAAAACCTAGTGAATTTTAGAGTCTCAACAATGAATTACAGCTAAATCCTTCATACAGCAATTTCTACACAGCTAATGCCACCCTACCTTTTATCATTCATACCCGTCTGTTTTTTAATGAAGGCAAAGGTGTGGGAATGGAGATTTCGTGGAAAGATCGAAGTTGGAATCACAGATCCAAGTTTTGAAATCTCTTAGTCTGGTTATGTCATTTTATGGTAAAAAAACAACCAACCAACAAAACTCAGAATTTACCATGTTTCTGGTCCAAAGATTTTGTGTCTTGAAACACAAATGTGCCAGCAGCTCAAAGTTGATAGAGAAGCAAAGCCAGGTCTACAATCTACTGCTCTAGATTCTGTTAGGCCCTCTCAGGAAGATGGAACTTACAACTACAGAAAAGCTGGCCAGGCGCAGTGGCGCATGCCTGTAATACTGGCACTTTGGGAGGCCGAGGCAGGTTGCTTGAGCCCAGGAGTTCAAGAACAGCTTGGGCAACATAGTGAAACCCCGTTTGCACAAAAAAATACAAAAAATTAGCTGGGCATGGTGGTGCATGCCTACAGTTCCAGCTACTCAGGAGGCTGATGTGGGAGGATCACTTGAGCCTGGGAAGTGAAGGCTGCAGTGAGCTATGATCACACCACTGCAATCCATCCTGGGTGACAGAGTGACACCCTGTCTCAAAACAAAACAAAACAAAAAAAGAGAAACTACAGAGACATTAAATAATTTACTAGACTGTATAAACAACTGAGAGATAATGTTTTCCATCAGGGAGTGCTGTTTTCTTTCATCAAACTCTAGTCAAGATGTCCAAGTACGTAGGTAGCAGGTACTTGGTAGATAGAGGAGAAAAGCCCTAGAAATGGTGTCTCCCTTCTCCTCCCTTGTCACCTTTCAACTCTCCCTTCCTGCACATTCCCAGCCCAGGAAGATGGAGTCCCAGTACCAGATCTGCCACTCACTGCCTATGTCACCTCTGAAAGTGACTTCATTCCTCTGGGGTCTGTTTTTCTTACCTTCAAAACTAAGGAGGGTAGACTAGATGCCTTCCTGCATCTATGGAAATAAGTACACTCAGCTTGAAACATTCAGAAGTAAGTAGAGCATTGCAGAAACGAGCATATTAATGGACAGCAATGTGCATTAGGTTCATGGGATTTCATGTCCCTTTAGTGTCCTCTAGCTGTCTTAAGACATTGTGGGGAATTATATCTGCCTTCTTGAGGCCTCTTTCCTCCCTCAGGGCTTCATTAAATGCCTGCTTCTCTATGCCTTCCCAATGACTCTCCCTCTATGTCCCCATGTTGTTTATTCTGCAACGATTTTTTTTTTTTTTTTTTTAGACAGAGTCTTGCTCTGTCACCCAGAGTGGAGTGCAATGGTGCAATCTTGGCTCACTGCAGCCTCTGCCTTCTCAGTTCAAGCAATTTTCCTGCCTCAGCCTCCTGAGTAGCTGGGACAACAGGCACACACCACCACTCCTTGCTAATTTTTTTTTCTTTGTTTTTGTATTTTTAGTAGAGATGAGGTTGGTCAGGCTGGTCTTGAACTCCTGACCTCCCTCCCAGTGATCCACCCGCCTCGGCCTCCCAAAGTGCTGGGATTACAGGTGTGAGCCATCGCGCCTGGCCTATTCTGCAACAATTCACATTTTGAAGGGCTAAACTATTTTCCTTCTCTTTGTTATGAAACTCCAATTTTACACAAAATACTGAGTTTTATATAGAAAGTGGTCATCCTTCCCGTTCCATCTGGATGTTGCCTGGCTCCCTTTAAGTCTGCACAAAGACAAGCAGGTGTCAGGCAAATGCAGCAGGATCGTGTTGCGGGGCAGAACACCACTGGCCCAAGCGAGGAGAGGAGCTGTATCACCTTGGGCCATCTACCTGGTCACTCGTCACGTGACAGGTTCTGCTCAGCTGACATCTAAGGTTCTGTTGGGCTCTGTATTCTACCAACTTTTTGGAATTGCAGGAAAAGTCTGCACCTGTCATTTTATTGACTCTTCTCTGTCTTCCTGGAGTTATTAGTGAAAGCAATTTTTGTAAAAACCCCTTGGGAACACCACGGAACATTCTGTGCTTTCTCAGCAGCTGGGGGAAGAGTGCGATGCTCTCCGGTGAGAGGAGGGGGCCCCCAAGAGCTAGAAAGAGAAGATGCTTCTCCACTTACTTACAACTCTGGATCCACCCTCTAAACCAAACAACACAACCTTCATGGTACCCCCAGAAAACAGCCTTTCGGAGCCCTTTCCAGTCTCTTCCGCAGCCTCTCTGTTTCCATCCACCTTCACTGAACTCTGGTTATGACGCTAGTCATTTTCTGCGTCTTCGGGAGATGAACTTGTGTCATCTTCCAAAGACACGTCTGGTCCAGGCGTGCTCTCTTTAGGCTGTGAGCTCTTAGATGCCTTTAGTAAAACAGGAGATGAGTGACTGTGGGCAAAAGACAAGCTGTGTGCAAACTGACCCCAGGGGCCGCCATGGAGCTGGTGAGTTACTGAGGTGTCTGTGCTCAAGGGAGCCCAGGTTCCAAGTCCCCGAGGGCGCGTGTGAATTCACTATGGGTGGATGCCTTCGCTGCTAGGTCTCCAAGAAAGCCTAGTCATTTCTAGGTCAAGTCATCCATTCTTTCCGTGGAAGAGAAATTTCATGTCACATTGCAAAGACCTCTCTTCCCTTTGAAATCACGGAATGATCTTAAAATAGGACAAACTCCTCTAAAATCAATAGTTCTGTGTCTTAGTGTTCGTTTTCCCCCATTTTCTCAGACTGCATAATTTATTCAAGAGCTACTGGAAGTGGGGCACAGAAAAATTTAATGAGTCCCGAGCACGGAGGCTGTCCCTCCAAGTTAGGGTTTTGTGGATCGTGCACCATTTTGTCCGGGAGGCTGGATGCTGGCTATGATATTTTAAAACTTTGTTTTTTTGTTTTTTTTTGAGACAGAGTTTAGATCTGTTGCTCAGGCTGGAGTGCAGTGGCACGATCTTGGCTCACTGCAACCTCCACCTTCTGGGTTCAAGCGATTCTCCTGCCTCAGCTTCCTGAGTAGCTAGAACTACAGGCACCTGCCACCACACCCAGCTAATTTTTGTATTTTTAGTAGACGCAGCATTTCATCATGTTGGCCAGGCTGGTCTCAAACTTCTGACCTCAAATGATCCACCCACCTCGGCCTCCCAAAGTGCTGGGATTACAGGCATGAGCCACCGCACCCAGCCTTAAACCACTTCTTCATGCTCCCCAAAACAAGACTTTTCTCCCAGACCGGCACATTTCAAGTAATAGTCAACATTTTTTTTTCCTAATAATGTTTACTTAAGATGACTGCTATGCCATCTTTCTGATGACCAAGTACTGACATATTTACTGACAAGTTAATCACATCCTCATCAGCACACAAAAATTAAAGAAGAAACGTTTTGGAAAACAGAGAGAAGAAAAATGAGTAACAAATCACCATGTTGCCTTTATGTATAACCAGAAACTTATTAATATGCTACAAAATGGATCAAATGTTTCAGGTTTAAAAGCTTTTTCAGAATAATCAGTTTATGTAAAGCACTGGAAAATTAAGTGAAATTCAAGCCAAGTATCCCTGGGAAATGCAGTGAGTTACTCTCCTAGCAGAATGCAACTCAGAACAGCCTTTGATTTAAAATTTTAATGCTGTGATTAGTTTAAAGTGTGGGGGAAAGGAAAGTGGGGTAGACAAGAAAATAATTCAGGACTCCAGAATCCTGACACCTCTTCCACCAGGAGGAGTGGGGACCATTCCAGTGCAAAGGGGTCCAGAGAATGGTGCAGTTGGACACAAACAGAGGTGGAAGGTACCCGTCTTGGGTCTTTCTCTGATAAGGAATTATCACTTATTTTCTGGTGGATGGCTTTTAGTTTCTCTGATCTTTTAGCTGTGGCATGCCAGAATAGTGGTACTGACCCAGCTGACTTAGAGACCTGCCAGGAGAGGGCGGATTCTAAAGCAAATTCAAAGCCTGGCCACTCTATGCCCAGTTGAGGACAGAGAGAGCAAGTGCAGAGAAAGAAACGATGTGGGAAAGAGCTGGGTGGACACAGATGGCAGAGGGCGGAGGCTCCCCATCCTAAGTGGTCCCCATGCCGGTGGGGCATGGAGCCAAGGTATGCCTGTCTCTGAGTTGGACCAAGCACCACCTCTTCCCCTCCTGGCTGCAGCATAGGTGGGTGGGGTGGTAAGTCTCTACCAGCCCCACCCACCCACAGGCTACCCTCTCAAATGGGGGCTCGTGGGACGAGGCAGAGGGCAGCTGGGCCAAAAACCCTAAGTCTAATCTTATACTTAAAAAAATTGCAATTTCAATAAGAATTTCTCTGAATTGAATATATTTAGTCCACCAAAGGAGAGCTCAGAGAAGGTGCTTAAGGCAACTGGTAACAGAAGAAAAGCTCAAGGAGACCAATGTGCTAACATGTAATTCTGCAGGGCTCGTACCGACGTAACACAGTTTCAAAGCACTTGAACTTGTACCAAGAATTCCCCTTCTGCACCTTCAGTGCCTTTCTCCCACATAGTGCTAAAACTCCCAATCATACCTAAAATCCACATGTAAAGACTAAAACACAGTAACTCCCACTGAAAAGAGAAAAGACTCCAATTACCTGTTCCATTTCCGTCTAATCCTCGCAAATAAGGAAAACTGTCCACCTCCGAAGGGGAGCTGGCGGCCGTGAGAAACGCGGTCAGGTCACTGTAGCTGGTGTTCTCAGGCAACCTCAGAGCCCTTCTCTGGAAATGAACGCGAGGCTGTGGCCGGGCACCTGCAGAGATTAACCTCCGAGTTATCTCCCCCAGGAGCAGTTTCTGTTTTTAGAAAATGCAAAACCAGGAAGTGCCTCTCTAAGGTTTCAGCACGCCTCCCCCACCCTGCTCCCTCTCACAAGGCCTCCCTTCCCCCATTCATGCAGGACACAGAGATGTGACAACATGCTA
Organism: Homo sapiens; assembly: GCF_000001405.40. Taxonomy (NCBI): domain Eukaryota; kingdom Metazoa; phylum Chordata; class Mammalia; order Primates; family Hominidae; genus Homo; species Homo sapiens. The sequence goes on from NC_000010.11 coordinate 15,255,052, forward strand.
TTATGGGGAGAGAAATAATAGCCCATTGTCACATTTGTTTTGACACAGGATGTTATTTAGGTTTTTAACAAAAAGCTTTTTCCAAGTTCCATGTGCAAGCAGTCTTGTCACTGCCCAGCATTTGCCTGTGGATCTGGGTAGCATTTTGGGAAACTCCATGTAAATGAAACAAGTAGATGACTATTAATCTCTTTACTCAAACAATGTAAGAGATACTCTTTGATACCGCTGCAAACCCGTCTTTAATCTCCCTGGAAAAATCTGGTTTAATGCCATGAACCAAATTGAAGGAGGGCAAGGGAATTAACAGTGCAACCTTGAAAAGAATTGCAAACAATACCCCAGCGGCAATGAATCTTCTCTTTCTGTGGGAGCTGCCATTTGTCATCATCCAGTCTATTCTGGAGGCGTGCTTCCTACTTGTGATGGATTATGTCACAGAATTTAGGATGAGACTTTTGAAATGATGCAAAATGATGCTTCTTCACCAAACTCAACTCCTTTGTGTAGGAGGACAGGTTGGGCTGACAGGCCCTAGACAGTTGGTTGTGCCGTCCTCTGCAGCTTAACTTTGCTCCAAATTTTCTTTTTCTTTTCTTCTTCTTTTTTTTTTTTGAGATGGAGTTTTGCTCTTGTCGCCCAGGCTGGAGTGCAGCGGTGTGATCTCAACTCCCTGCAACCTCTGCCTCCCGTTCAAGCGATTCCCCTGCCTCAGTCTCCCAAGTAGCTGGGATTACAGGTGCCCGCCACCACACCCAGCTAATTTTTGTATTTTTAGTAGAGGCAGGGTTTCACCATGTTGGCCAGGCTGGTCTTGAACTCCTGACCTCAGGTGATCCACCCGCCTCAGCCTCCCAAAGTGTTGGGATTACAGGTGTGAGCCACCGCGCCTGGCCCAGATGTTGTTTTGATCATAAAACCTGAACTGGTTTTTACCTAATGCTGCGGTGATATTCACCAGACGTAAAGGTGCTAGGTAATTTTGTGCAAACCTGGCAAAAGCATTGTTAAGAGAAAAACTGTAGATCCAACCCCAGGCTTGAGGCAGACCACATTCCACCTGTGCTTTGCTGAGGGTTCCTTCTCCCGGCCCCCTGCTGTCCTGCTTCAACAGCTCTGCACGGAGCTGGTGGGCTTTATCTCCACTCCAGGGTTCCTTTTAACTCTGGATCAAAGAACTTGTAAGGAGTGAAGAAGCCTGTCTAGACGTGTTCTAGAAAAAGGGAGTTTTAGAGCTCCAAGAATCCACTAGCCCAAGTCTCTCTTCTTAAAGGTGAAGTCACTGAGGTCCAAAGGACTTATGTCGGGGGCAGCCTGTCTTGGCTACACACTGCCTAACTGGCAGGGAGTCACAATGCTCCCTCTTCCTTTTAAAAACTAGCAGGTAGACTTCTCCAGGGGCTGGTTCTCCACTCTGTGAAATCCAGGCCCAGGTTTAGAGCCCAGCGAGCAGGTGCCCAAAATCATGAGAGTCCTATCTAACTCCGGTCATCTCTGCTGAAACTAAACAGACACAGACATTAGTCTAGCTCCAGACCATCGATTCCCCTTCTTCATCCCTAAAACAAACCCACAGCGACACACCAGCCTCTGGGGATCTGGGTATTTTAACATTATTGTATTCTTCTTAGTCTGGTCTTATTTTCCCTCGATGTTACAGAATACCGATGTCTTACTCCTGCCACCTCCTTGGTCTGTGGAGAGTTCAAATTCCTCGGGGGTCCCACAAACGCTCTGTGTCCTGCCAGGGGCAGTCTGTTTCTCATCCCTTCTCCCCCTTGCCCACACACATGGCGCACAGCTTGCTTTTCTTCTCCCTTTCCACGCTGCCCTCCAGGATGGAAGGTCAAAGCCAGCATTCTTTCTCATCTCCTCACTCCGGATGATATAACAACATTCATTGCTTCTGGTATTTTTTTCAATGATCAGGAAATATATGTTATCTACTGGTTTTCCGGCTAAATAATGCTGCTGATAGTATTCAATGAACAAGCCCCTGTGTAGAAGCCTGGGTCTCACATGGTGGAAAAGTAAAGCACTCTGCTAATAGGAAGAGAACAAGAATGGTGAGTCTACATGTGATGGAGCAAAGAGGGAGCCTGTCCTCATGAGGGTCCGGGCAGAGGCAGAAGCTGGGTTGGTGATCCCAGAGCAGGGAAGGAAAAGTGCACCCCTCCAGGCCTTAGGAGGAGCCCCTGTGAGATGGGCTGGCAGAGACCTGTGTGAGGGCAGTGGGGCACAGAAACCTTCTCCGACTGGACTGAGGGTTGCTGAAAGACAAGGGGGAGCCGGGGAATGGGCCCAGGATACGCAGCCTAGCCAGGACTTACGGGGACTGGCCTGGGACCCAGAGAACCAGAAACCCAGGCTGCTCTCCCCAGCTCTCAGGGCCCTGGTGTCTCCCCCTGATCCTCTGCTTCTCGTGCCTTCTCGAGCAGATCAAGTGTTACATGCATTTGGGTGGGCAACACATCTCTCTCCCCACTTGTGCAGGAGAATTTGGTCCCTGGCCAGACATCCAGGGTCTATCTGCTGGGGCTGGGGGCTGGGGGTATGTAGCAGGCTATGTGGGGGCAGATCCTCATGGAAAGGATATGGCCGGTGCAGCTTATCTGACACACCCTGGGACTGGCACGACACGGGTACCATCCATGAGGGACTAAACACCCCACCACAAAGCACAGGCAACACCTATGGTGATGAAAATGACTGAAGCAGCACGTGAGGAATTTAAGGGTGCAAGCTATTCTGAGCCACAGCACAAATAAAATCGAAAGATGGTATGCATGGGGTTGGGGGAGCGGTTATATTCTTAAGCCTGCCTCCGTGTACTAAAGCCGCTAAATAGTTCCACACTACAGAAAGGAATATGATTGGGAGGGGGTGGCAGGGTAGGCAGTGGATAAGCCTGTAGGGCTCCATCCCCATCCCCAAAATACTCAGACCCTGCTCTCCTGAAAATACGGGGGTCCCCGCTTCCTCTCGCTGCATTTCTTTCTTTTCTCTTTTTCTTTTTCTTTTTTTTCTCAGAGAGAGTCTTGCTCTGTTGCCCAGGCTGGAGTGCAGTGGCGTGATCTCGGCTTACTGCAACCTCTGCCTCCTGGGTTCAAGCAATTCTCCTGCCTCAGCCTCCCAAGTAGCTGCGATTACAAGTGCCCACCACCACACCTGGCTAATTTTTGTATTTTTAGTAGATATGAGGTTTCATCACATTGGCCAGGCTGGTCTCGATCTCCTGACCTCAGGTGATCCGCCTGCCTCAGCCTCCCAACTCTCTGCTTTCAAAAATCTGTTCTTCCCTCTTCTCTTCTGCCCCTAACCACCTCCAAGGTCAATCCAAGCCTCTAATTTAACTTTTGCTTATTCATTGTAAGACTTGGCTCAACCACCTGTTTTTGCCTTCGTCAGCAATCTCTTTCTCTATAGGCTTTTCCTCCCCAACCAACAAAAATACTCATTTTTTCCCCAGTCTAGAACAATAACAAGCAAACATTACTCTAACTCTGTTATCCCCATAAGCGAATGCCTTCTGTCCTTCCACCAAGCTCCAGTGATGTGGCTTCTACCCACAATGCATGCTGCCCTTGGAGACGTCGACTGTGTGATCCGCAAACCCCATGACCACAGCTCAGCCTCCATCCTCGTCGACCTCTTCACAATGGTTGACACTGTTTGCCCCTCCTGCCCACAATCCCCTTCCTCCTTGGGATTCATGGTCCTGCACTCTGGTTCTCTCCAGTGTCTGCCTGCTGTTTCCTTTGCAAGTCCTTCCTTTCTTGTCCTACCTCTGGATGAAACAGCTCCCAGAGGGCTACCACCCATCGCCTGTGCCATTTCTGTGCTCTGCTCGCTCCCTGTGGGTTCCCTTTCACTGCCACTGCCTTGGCTGGTACCATCCACTCCAGCATTGGATTCTTTTCTAAGCTCCATGCCTGGATTTTCCCTTGCCTTCTAGACACTTCTACCCAGATGCCCATCTGTCACTCTAAAATCATCATCTACCTTCTCTTTCACCTAACAATATTCCAGTCTCCCCAACACCCAGTTTTGATTCTAGGTCACCATCATCATTCTCCCTATCTATCATCCTCAAGTGCCATCATTCTCCCTATCTATCATCCTTGGCATTCACTCAAGTGCCAAGACTGGCCAATCTTCCCTTAACAAATTTCTTGCACCATATTTCTCTCCCTTTTTGCATCCAACAGCGTATGTTACCTTATACTGCCTCTCACCTCAACTATTGTGAAAGCCTCCTATCTGGGCCATCTGCTTCAGCCTCACTCCCTTTTCATCTACTGACACTGTGACTGTTCAAAGATACTACTCTAATCATGTCCTTTCCCTGCCCAGAAACCATCAACGGATCTCTCCCACTTACCAAATTAACAATGATGACAAAAAAAACAACAAAAATGAATAGACCAATATAGACCCAGACTACAACTGCACCTCTTCTCTAAATGAGAGGCATAGATCAGTGCTTTAGAATTTACAAAGTGCATAAATAAAAATATGTTATTTAATATTTACAACAACCCTGTGAAGAAGGAACCCTTTCCTCTTTATGGATGATGAACTACAGCTCAAAGAGGTAAGTGACTTGCCCAAAGTCATTCTGCTTGTAAGAGGTAGAAAGGAATTATTTTAATTCTAACTCTGTATCCTTTCCTATCACACCATGCCTACCTCAAAATAGATGCCCTGCTGACTGCCAACCAGTTCTCATCCTCTGGCCAAATAGGACTGCATGACTAAGTCTGATTGTTTCTTTCCTTTTTTTTTTTGAGACAGGGTCTTCACTTGCTCTGTCACCCAGGCTGGAGTACAATGATGCCATCACAGTTCACTGCAGCCTTGACCTCCTGGGCTCAAGTGATCTTCCCACCTCAGCCTACTGGGTAGCTGGGACTACAGGCACATGCCACAACACCTGGCTAATTTTTATATTTTTTTGTAGAGATGAGGTTTCGCCATGTTGCCCAGTCTGGTCTCAAACTCCTGGGCTCAAGTCATCTGCCCTCCACAACCTTCCAAAGTGCTGGGGTTACAGGTGTGAACCACCACGCCTGGCCTCTCTGTGTATATACATTCATGCATCTCCATGTCTGAAACTTCTTCCCCTCATCCTACAGCTCACCCAAAATGCATGTCAAAAGCCACCTCTTCTATGTAGTCTGTTAATCCCACCCTAAGCTCTAAGCTCTATTTGCATCTCTCTTGTAGCACTGCTCTTACTATGTCCTGTATCATAATTATTTGTATATTTGTTCATCTGCCTAATCAAGAGCATCATGAGAACATGGGTGGTGGAATCACTTAGCTCCAGGTTTAAATCTTTCCTCTACCACCTTATAGTTGAGTGATTTGGGCTTCAGGTTATCTTTAAAATGGGTATGAATCATGCCTGTCTCATAATATGGCTGTTGTGATGTTGGTTCAGAACACATATGGATGGTGTCCAACAGTGTCTCCTGGATAAGCACTGCTTTCCCATTTCCTCTTCCCATTATAGACTGAAGCTCCTTAAACCAGGCGTTCTGTGAAATGCATGGCACTATGTTCTGTATACAGTTGGTGCTCAATGGTACTTATGTGAAGATGAGTTAAACCTGGCAACTCACTATGTTCCAGTAATGCTCTGTCTCCATTCCAACTAGATCAGGGGTCCTCCATTTCAGCACCATTTACATTTTGGGCCAGGTAGTTCTTTGTTTGGGGGTGTCCCATGCATTGCAGCATGTTTAATAGCACCCCTGACCTCTACCCACTAGATGTCTGTAGCAGCCCCCAAAATTTCTCCAGACCTCACTAAATGTCTCTGGGGAGGGGGGGCAAAGTCACCCCCAATTCTGAACCACTGCACTATATACCCTGAGCACCTTCACAAAATCCAGACAACTGGCACTGAGAATCTCCCTGCAACGGGTCTACGACTGCAAAGAGGAGTAGGGAAAGTGTTTGTATTCACGGAACTCAAGAGAGGAGAAGGCATTTCTCTCTTTGTCTCTTTCTGTGTCTTCCGCTGTCTCTCTATCTGAATCTCTGTTCCTCTCCCGAACTATCATATGAACAAAGAAGCTTAAAAAGAATGCCAATAGTAACCTTTTGGAGGGTGGGATGAAGATTTCCGAGTCAATTTCAGAAGATGAAGTTTAAACAAAACCAAGGGTTGCCACCTGAAGGAAAACTAAAGCCGGAGGGTTGCAGAGGTTTTCTGTTTTCTGCCCTGGGGCTCTTTTCTGAGATGCCATTTAGCCTCCTTAAATGGATCAGTGAAGAATTGAGCCAGTAATCTTGGGGATAATGGTACTTTCTCTTCTGCCCTGAATCAGAGTCAAGGAAATCTCTTCTTAGAGCTTTCATCACCTCTTGATGAGTTTATCACATCATCCTTCTTTTCTTACATGTTTAACTCCCTAAAACATCAATAACATTCATTACTCTAATACAGAAAAGGGTCGAGAAGGCAGTCATGGAAACGGCTTGATTATCATAGTGTTTTAAGTGCTAGAATAAGAGGGTAATGATGAAAGTACAAGATAAACTTCAAGAGAGAGAGTGGCCAGCTGTCCAGGAGAAAAGCAGTTCCCGGGCTGGTATTTGTGAACTGTGTCTTGAAGGTTGAGAGGCAGAGGAGAAGTAACAGCATCTATGAAGGGGCACAGATAAAGAAAATCTACCATGTGTGGGGAAGTGAAGGAACTCTCTGTGAGCTACGTGGGGTCCAGGGGCAGAGGGAGAGACTTAGGAAGGACTTGGTAAGTCCCAATCAAGAGTTTGGGGCCGGGTGTGGTGGCTCATCCTTGTCATCCCAGTGCTTTAGGAGGCTGAGGCAGGAGGAACGCTTGAGGCCAGGAGTCTGAGAATAGCCTGGGCAACATAGACCCCATCTCTACAAAAAATCTGAAAAATTAGATGGGTGTGGTGGCGCATGCCTGAAGTCTGAGCTACTCCAGAGACACAGGCAAGAGAATCATTTGAGCCTGGGAGTCTGAGGCTACGGTGAGTTATGATTGCACTACTGCACTCCAGTCCATGCAACAGAGTAAGACCCTGCCAATGAATCAATCAATCAATGAGTTTGGATTTGTGTGGGCCTGCAGGGGAGAGCGTGTGGGAGTTACCGGTAGGGAAGTGAAAGATTCCGATTTGTTTTTGCCCAATTCTGACAGCAGGTGGAGTATGGCCATGGGTGCAGAGTCTGATGTCAGAGCGATCAGGCAGGAGGCTGCTATGAAATTATTCAAGTGAGAAATGATAAAGTTCCAAATAAAGACAGCAGCTCTGGGGGTCCTCACAGAAAAGGCAGCTGGAGTGGAAAGCTATTTTTGAAATAAGAGATAGGCAGAGCAGGAAGAACCCATGAAGGAGATTGAGAAGCAATGAACAGAGAGAGGGCCAGAGAAAGGATGAAGACATCCAGGAAGGCAGAACCGGGTAGGGTGGTGAAGCTGCGGGGAAGTTAGGAAGAAGTGGCCACTAGGTCACGTAACTGTAGCTCTGCTGAGCTCAGCAAGAGGGATTTCTAAGGAATCGTGTGAGGCAGCACAAAAGGGAGTTTAAAGACATGTGCCTGGCAAGGGGAGGTATCTCCAAGGTTCGGGAGAAGATTGTGACTTGAAGGAGAAATAGGGCTTAAGAAGAGTTTTGCTTTGAATGGCAAAGCCTTCAGTGATTTTGAGAGCTGAGAAAGAACTAGAAGAGATGAAAGGCTCAGCATAAATCCAGGGAGGTGTGAGAGGAGGTGATAACAAATGGGCTCCAATGAGAATGTGAAGGGGTTCATGGTGGGGCAGAGAAGCTGCAGGAGGACACTGCCATGTCCTCTTCGGAAAGGCGGCAGGAGGAAGACCACTCGGGAAGGCGTGCTTCCCTGACGGCCTGCTTTCCCTGTGAAACCAGCCACCAGGGCCCTCCTGGGAGGACGGCATGCAGGTGGGGCGAGGGGCATATGGAGTGTGCTGGGAAAAGCTTCCCACAGCAGCTGCCCGGGGAACAGGAAAAGGACCATCTGGGAAACATGAGGAGCCAAGCAGAGGATGGAGACCACTGACCTGGGTGGTGCCAGTCGGCCCGATGACAGTGCCCATGGGCAGCTGGGGGCATCTTGTCTGTATCTTCTTATTTACTCTCATCACACTCTGAGTCGTTGTTTCTGAGACAGCGTGAGGGCCTCCTAGAGGCTCCGGGAGCCAGAGCTGCAGGCTGGCTCCCCCAGTCTCATCTCCGGCATTCATACAATGCCAGCCTCCCCATTCATCCCTTACCAGAAATAATCTGGGATTTAATTTATGGATTTACTACCAAACCCCTCCCCACAAGATTTTGATGGAAATGTGATCTTCAGCAAAGGACAAAACACTCTCCAAGAAAATGATTCGTATAATTTACGAGTGTTCTCTCTTTCCATACTCTTATCATCTCACAGACAAGTTTGGAAACAATTTGCCAGCGTTTTGTGACACTGAGCGCATTTTCAGATATAGTCTACGTGGGGGAATATCCCTCTTGTTGACCAATTACTGAGGCATCACCTAACACTGCAGAGAATACGTGTGAGTCTTCTGACCCTTCCCCTCACCATCCTGTTATCCTAAGACAGTCCTGGCTGGCTGCTTGCCTATCTATCTATGCATCTATCAATCATCTATCCATCTATCCTATCAATCTATCTATCTATCTGTCTGTCTATCTATCTATCTATCTATCTATCTATCTATCTATCTATCTATCATCTATCCATCTAATCTATTAATCATCTATCTAATCTATCATCTATCTATACATTTATCTCATCTATCTATCTATCTATCTATCTATCTATCTATCTATCTATCTATCTATCTATCTATCCGTCCATCCTTCCGTCCGTCCGTCCGTCCATCCATCCATCCAACCATCCATCTACCTACCTACCTACCAACAAAACTACCTATTTATTTGAGACAGAGTCTTGCTCTGTTGCCCAGGCTGGGGTACACTGGCACAATCATGGCTCACTGCAACCTTGAACTCCTGGGCTCAAGAGATTCTCCCACTTCAGCCTCCAGAGTAGCTGGGACTGTAGGCACACAACACCACACCTGGCTAATTTTTAAATATTTTTCGGGTCTTGCTATGTTGCCCAGTCTGGCTTGAACTCCTGGGCTCAAGTGATCTTACCAAAGTGCCTTGACCTTGGCCTCCTAAAGCGCTGGGATTACAGGTGTGAGCCACTGTGCCTGGCCCAGGCTTTCTTTATAAAACAGTGTCGAAAATAACATGTTACACCATTACTTTCCTCACTTTTAAAACGCAACAAAACTGGCCGGGCATAGTGGCTTGCATGTCTGAGCAGGCAAGAATTTATTTTTTTCTCCTGAATCAATTAAAAAAAAATGCAACTAAATGTGACCAGTTTGAGAACATAATTTTAATATGTCATTTATAAATTCAGTATTGTATTAGTTTTGTAGACAATACAAATACATCGGGCATCTCAGCACTTTGGGAGGGCAAGGTGGGCAGATAGCTTGAGCCTAGGAACTTGAGACTAACCTGGGCAACATGGTGAAACCCTGTTTCTACAAAAAAAAAAAAATTAGCCAGGTGTGGTGGTGTATACTGTAGTCCCAGCCACTTGGGAGGCTAAGGTGGGAGGATCACTTGAGCTGGGGAGGCAGAGGGTGCAGTGAGCTGAGATCCAGTCACTGCATTCCAGCTGGGTGACAGTGGGACCCTGTCTCTTAAAAAAAATAAATAAACTGTATTAAGCAAATAGTAGTAAAGACCACTATTTATTTATCTACATGGTAGTAAAGACTACCATTTATTTATCTACATGGTAGTAAGGACCACCTTTATTTAGCTACATATGGCTTTCTTCCAACTAGTGGGAAAACAGGAAACAAAATGATCCATTATTATCATTGCCATGCCTCAATACGACCGAGACAAGGAATCATACAATTAAACATGATTAAGCTCAGGAAGCAGGGCACATTTAAACATTAACAAAATTTTGTAATTTTAAAAAGCTGGCATGGAAATGAGATTATAAAAAGGTGCAGCCAGTTTCTGGTTATGTACAGGAAGCAGTGATAAAATTAACTATAATGAAAACTACCTGAATGTCTTACTCCTCGGGCCGATTTATAATATGCTCATGCTTCTTGCTCCTCAGAGAGAGAAAGAGCTGCTCAAGTACTCGTGTGTGTGCGTGTGTGTGTGTGTGCGTGTGTGTTTGTGTGTGTACTGTACTGTACTTTTCTTAGCTTTCAGAACAAAGAAAATAAGTGGGTTGGGTGTGGCTGCCTATGCCTGTAATCCCAGTACTTTTGGAGTCCAGGGTAGGAGGATCTTTGAGCGCAGGAGTTTGAGACGAGCCTGGGCAACATGGTGAAACTCCATCTCTACAAAAAATACAAAAAAATTGGCCAGACTTAGTGGTGCATGCCTATAGTCCCAACTACTCAGGAGGCTGAGATGGGAAAATCACCTAAGCCTGGGAAGTTGAGGCAACAATGAGCTGAGATGGTGCCTCTGAAAAAAAAAAAAAAAAAAAAAAAAAAGACCATGGAGTAAGTAGTCTATGTAGGAAGTACAAAAAGCAGCTGGATTTTGATTTTTTTTTTTGTATTTGTTTAACTCAATTATTCAATGAATTACTCATTGGGTGTCTACCATTGGCAGGCATAGGGCACAGACCTGGCAGGACCGAGATGATGAAGACACAGTTCTTGGCCTTCTGGTTTTCACCTTTAGTCAGTTAGATAAGGTGTACTCCCAAATATGGTAGGAAAGGGGGGTATCATGGAAAGATCCAGAACTCCCAGCTGGTGGGTTGTTTAATCTGCTGCATTTGGTTACTGATAAGGACGTGAGGGACAATAAGGGAGGTGAGGACCTGTGGCTCCAAGAACAGGAGCCAGAGGTGGTAGAAGGCACAAGAGGTAGAACGACCAGCTCTGGGCTCAGGCAGCTCTCAGGCCACTTGGCAGGAGTGAGTGGGTTTCCCTGTAACACTGGGCCATGAGTGGGACCCACGGACGCCGTCTGCTCCTTTCTGACCTGCTCCGAGTGTCTTCTTCTGCTTCTGCATCCTTTCTGTTCTTCTACCTGGCTCACAGAAGGCCTGGCACAGCTCAGCCTGCATCTCAGGACCATTCAGCCGCTATTCTCAACCCCTGCTGGGTTCTTAGTTCAATCCCAGGAAAAGAAAGGGGACGAGAGCTGCTGGGTCCCACCTGCGGCCACACTATGGACTGGTTACCCCCAAGCTGGGTGCCCACTCCAGATCCAACAGCCATGGCTGGGAGGGATAGGGCCACAGGACACAAGCCCCTCGGCTGCCAGGGGCAGGCGGTGTGACTCTCATCTCCAGTGGATGTTCAGGAAAGACCTTCCAACCATGTGGCATCCAGGCTGCCCTTCCTGTCCAGGAAGGGTTTCCAGACAGATTGGCAGAGGAGGTGGAAAGCCCCAGGTGGAAAACAGAAACTGAGGTAGACCAGAACACAGCAAAAAGAAAAACACTCAGAAGGGAGGTGAGGCCAGGCATGGTGGCTCACACCTGTAACCCCAGCACTGTGGAAGGCTGAGGTGGGCGGATCACTTGAGGTCAGGAGTTCGAGACCAGCTTGGGCAACATAGCGAGACCCCCGTCTCTACTAAAAATAAAAATAAATCATTTGGGCATTGTGGTATGTGCCTGTGGTAACAGCTACTCAGGAGGCTGAGGTGAAAGGATTGCTTGAGTCTGGGAGGTCAAGGCTGCAGTGAGCTGTGATTGCACCACTGCAGTTCAGCCTGGGTGACAGAGTGAGACTGTTTCAAAAAAAAAAAAAAAAAAAAGAGAGAGAGAAAAGTTGAGGCCATATCCCGGAGGCCAGGGAGTGTGAGTTGGCAGAATGGATTTTACTCTGTAGGCCAAGGCGAGCCAGGAAGGGACAGAAAGAACTGGAGCTCCACCTCAGGTAGACCCAACGGGCAGTTTAGCGCACGGTGTGTTGGAGAGCAGAGACTCGAGTTAGAAAGTCTAGCTTCTCCTTCCGAAATCTGGCTCCAATCCTAAGTCAAAGGCTAAAGACGTGTACCCCACAGGGGGGCTACTGCAGTGGTCTTGGTAGAGATCAACAGGGCCTGTGTCAGGGCATGGGCATGGCAATGCTGTGGGCACGCATGGGCAGGGGGAAGGAATGCCAGCGTGCATGGGCACAGAACCGATGACTGTGACATCAGGCTCGCTGCAGCCATATTCCACTCATGGAGATATAAGAAGGGGAGAAGAGGCCAGGTGCGGTGGCTCATGCCTGTAATCCCAGCACTTTGGGAAGCTGAGGGGGGCAGATCACGAGGTCAGTAGATTGAGGCCATCCTGGCCAACATGGTGAAACCACGTCTCTACTAAAAATACCAAAATTAGCTGGGTGCAGTGGCACGTGTGTGTAGTCCCAGCTACTCAGCAGGCTAAGGCAGGAGAATCACTTGAACCCAGGAGGCAGAGGTTGCAATGAGCCGAGATCGCGCCACTGTACTCCAGCCTGGCAACAGAGCGAGACACCATCGCAAAAAAAAAAAAAAAAAAAAAAAAAAAAAAGAAGGGGAGAAGAAGGTTGTGTGTGACTGCTGCTTAGGCAGAAGGAGACTGCAGGGGGCACCCCACTCAGGTGCTGGGTCCTGGAGGAACCCTGTAGAGACTTGAGAGGAGACAGTGAAGTGTCCAGCTGTCAGGGCCAGCAGGGTGGCCATGAGGAGCAGAACACGGAGCGGTGAGGAGGCTGGACAGCCACGACGGACGAAGTGTGGTGTCACTGCAGACCCTGCAGTTCAAGCTTTTACCACAAACACCTCACAGTGCTGCTCCCCAAGAGTGAGGGACAGTAAAACCACACATTGCCTCCTTCAGCATCTTAGTAAAGGGAAAGGTGGGGACAGTGGATGTTGAAGGTGGCTGTGAAGGAGAAGACAAGAGGCCGACAGTGAGCACGTGGGCCTAAAAGCCACGTCTGGCAGAAGAAGGGGTGCAGGCAGCCGGCTGTGTGGGAAGCCCTGTGTGTATAAATGCTGTAGCCTCGTCCCTTCCTTACCAGGGAGGACCTGGACAACCACAGAAGCCACCAGAGGCCCAGGGCCAGGGGATTGTCCAGCCCTGAGTGGAAGGGGTTGGATTTTATTCCAAGTACAATGGGAAAACCATTGAAGATCCAAGCAAGGTGATTTGGTCACCCTCACTTTGTAAACACTTGATTACTGGTTTGGCAAGAGTGAAATGGGATAACCCGTTAAAAACCTACTGCAGTGCCTGAGGGGACATGGTGGTATCCTGGATTTGTGAGGTGGCAATGCAGATGGAGACACCAACCTCATCAAAAGAATGAGATTCGAGGAGAGAAGAATCAAGGACAATTCCTCGAGTTTTGGCCTGAGTTTATAGTGGTATCAACTTAGGTAGACGTTTATACCATTGATCACGGGAAGGCCAAAAATATCAAGCTCTATGTGTCCATACTGAGTTGGAGGTGCCTGACAGGCCTCCAAGCAGAGGCGTCATCCAAGGCCCCATTTCAGTGGGGAGGGTCTGGGCTGGAGAGACGGAATCAGGAGTAATTAGAGCATTGGAAGCCAGAGGCCTAGATGAGATGTTTAGGACCAGAAAGAAGAAATGTGGGCCCAGCACAGGCACTGGAGCCTCCCAAGAAGAAGGGACCAAGAGATAGAAAGAAAGAAAGTTGGGCCAGGCATGGTGCCTGTAATCCCAACACTTTGGGAGGCCGAGGTGGATGCATCACCTGAGGTCAGGAGTTTGAGACAAGCCTGGCCAACATAGTGAAACCCCATCTCTACTAAAAATACAAAAATCAGCCAGGTGTGGTGGTGCTTGCCTGTAATCCCAGCTACTGGGGAGGCTGATGCATGAAAATCACTTGGACCTGGGAGGCGGATATTGCAGTGAGCCAAGATCACGCCACTGCACTCCAGCCTGGGCAACAGAGACTCTGTCTCAAACAAACAAACAAACAAACAAACAAACAAACAAAGCCAGGAAACATGATTCTCAGGCCCATGATTTTTTATTTATTTATTTATTCACTTTTTTGAGACAGGGACTTACTCTGTCCCTCAGGCTGGAGTGCAGTGATACGATCACGGTTCACTGCAGCCTCGACCTCCTGGGCTCAAGTAATCCTCCTGTCTCAGTCTCCTGAGTAGCTGGGACTACAGGCGTGCAGTAGCATACACAGATTTTTTTTCATTTTTATTTTTAGTAGAGATGGAGTCTTGCTTAACTGCCCTGGCTGATCTTGAATGCCTGGTCTCAAGTGATCCTCCTGCCTTGGCCTCCCAAAGTGCTGGGATTACAGGTGTGAGCCATTGTGCCTGGCCAGGCCATGATTTAGATGGAATAGTATGCTCTTAGCACAGAAATGCATTTTACACAAGCATTGTCAATTCTAACCCCATATCAAGGAAAGCACAGTCCCTCAAACCTTCTTTGTGAGCTTTTCTGTGAGAGCAGGAGGGGCAAGATCATGTTTACAGACATCACAACCTGTGAGACAGGTTGAAAAAATAAGAGGGCAAGAGAGAGGATAAAGCCACACTGGCCTGCTTATTAGTCTTTAGGAGTGACCCTGTCCACTTGTAAGTGAGGCAGAGGCAGTGCCCTGGACTGTGGCCCAAACAAGATGAACATGCTCTCCATTGGAGAGGAAAGGGATGGTGGCACACAGAGTGGGACAGCCCCTCCTTTTCTCTCACACACTTACAGTGAACTGATAGTTTAATCAAATTCAAATGTGGTGTGCCTCACAGGGAAAATAGATGCTATGTCCCAGCTGTGGATAAATTCACTGCTATCACCATCCAACAATAAGTGGATTCCAGATCAGGTTCCAAGATGGCCGAATAGGAACAGCTCCAGTCTACAGCTCCCAAGGTGAGCGATGCAGAAGACGGGTGATTTCTGCATTTCCAACTGAGGTACCAGGTTCATCTCACTGGGGCTTGTCGGACAGTAGGTGCAGCCCACGGAGCATGGCGGAGCATCGCCTCACCTAGGAAGCGCAACGGGTCGGGGAATTCCCTTTCCTAGCCAAGGGAAGCTGTGACAGATGGTACCTGGAAAATCGGGACACTCCCACCCTAATACTGCACTTTTCTAACAGTCTTAGCAAACGGCACACCAGGAGATTATATCCTGTGCCTGGCTCAGAGGGTCCCACGCCCATGGAGCCTCGCTCACTGCTAGCACAGCAGTCTGAGATTGAACTGCAAGGTGGTAGCAAGGCTGGGGGAGGAGCATCTGCCATTGCTGAGGCTTGAGTAGCCAAACAAAATGGCTGGGAAGCTCGAACTGGGTGGAGCTCACCACAGCTCAAGGAGGCCTGCCTGCCTCTGTAGACTCCACCTCTGGGGGCAGGGCATAGCTGAACGAAAGGCAGCAGAAACTTCTGCAGACTTAAACGTCCCTGTTTGACAGCTCTGAACAGAGTAGTGGTTCTCCAGCACAGAGTTTGAGATCTGAGAACGGACAGACTGCCCTCTCAAGTAGGTCCCTGACCCCCGAGTAGCCTAACTGGGAGACACCTCCCAGTAGGGGCCGACTGACACCTCATACGGCTGGGTGCCCCTTTGAGACAAAGCTTCCAGAGGAAGGATCAGGCAGCAACATTTGCTGTTCTGCAATATTTGCTGTTCTGCAGCCTCCGCTGGTGATACCCAGGCAAACAGAGTCTGTAGTGGACCTTTAGCAAACTCCAACAGACCTGCAGCTGAGGGTCCTGACTGTTAGAAGGAAAACTAACAAACAGAAAGGACATCCACACCAAAACCCCATCTGTACGTCACCATCATCAAAGACCAAAGGTAGATAAAACCACAAAGATGGGGAGAAACCAGAGCAGAAAAGCTGAAAATTCTAAAAATCAGAGCGCCTATTCTCCTCAAAAGGAATGCAGCTCCTCGCCAGCAATGGAACAAAGCTGGACAGAGAATGACTTTGATGAGCTGACAGAAGAATGCTTCAGACGATCGGTAATAACAAACTTCTCTGAGCTAAAGGAAGATGTTCGAACCCATTGCAAAGAAGCTAAAAACCTTGAAAAAAGATTAGACAAATGGCTAACTAGAATAAACAGCGTAGAGAAGACCTTAAATGACCTGATGGAGCTGAAAACCATGGCACAAGAACTACGTGACACATGCACAAGCTTCAGTAGCAGATTCAATCAAGTAGAAGAAAGGGTATCAGCGACTGAAGATCAAATGAATGAAATAAAGCGAGAAGAGAAGTTTAGAGAAATAAAGTAAAAAGAAATGAACAAAGCCTCCAAGAAATATGGGACTATGTGAAAAGACCAAATTTACGTCTGATTGGTGTACCTGAAAGCGACGGGGAGAATGGAACCAAGTTGGAAAACACTCTGCAGGATATTATACAGGAGAACTTCCCCAACCTAGCAAGGCAGGCCAACATTCAAATTCAGGAAAAACAGAATGCCACAAAGATACTCCTCGAGAAGAGCAACTCCAAGACACATAATTGTCAGATTCACCAAAGTTGAAATGAAGGAAAAAATGTTAAGGGCAGCCAGAGACAAAGGTCGGATTACCCACAAAGGGAAGCCCATCAGACTAACAGCAGGTCTCTCGGCAGAAACTTTACAAGCCAGAAGACAGAGTGGGGGCCAATATTCAACATTCTTAAAGAAAAGAATTTTCAACCCAGAATTTCATATCCAGCCAAACTAAGCTTCATAAGTGAAGGAGAAATAAAATCCTTTACAGACAAGCAAATGCTGAGAGATTTTGTCACCATCAGGCCTGCCTTACAAGAGCTCCTGAAGGAAGCACTAAACATGGAAAGGAACAACCAGTAACCAGCCACTGCAAAAACATGCCAAATTCTAAAGACCACTGATGCTAGGAAGAAACTGCATCAACTAATGAGCAAAATAACCAGCTAACATCATAATGACAGGATCAAATTCACACATAAGAATATTAACCTTAAATGTAAATGGGATAAATGCTCCAATTAAAAGACACAGACAGGCACATTGGATAAACAGTCAAGACCCATCAGTGTGCTGTATTCAGGAGACCCATCTCATGTGCAGAGACACACATAGGCTCAAAATAAAGGGATGGAGGAAGATCTACCAAGCAAACAGAAAACAAACAAACAAAAAAAGCAGGGGTTGCAATCCTAGTCTCTGATAAAACAGACTTTAAACCAACAAAGATCAAAAGAGACAAAGAAGGCCATTACATAATGGTAAAGGGATCAATTCAACAAGAAGAGCTAACTGTCCTAAATATATATGCACCCAACACAGGAGCATCCAGATTCATAAAGCAAGCCTTAGAGACTTACAAAGAGTCTTAGACTCCCACACAATAATATTGGGAGACTTTAACACCCCACTGTCAACATTAGACAGATCAACGAGACAGAAAGTTAAAAAGGATATCCAGGACTTGAACTCAGCTCTGCACCAAGCAGACCTAATAGACATCTAGAGAACTCTCCACCCCAAATCAACAGAATATACATTCTTCTCAGCATCACATCACACTTATTCCAAAATTGACCACATAGTTGGGAGTAAAACACTCCTCAGCAAATGTAAAAGAACAGAAATTATAACAAATTGTCTCTCAGACCACAGTGCAATCAAACTAGAACTCAGGATTAAGAAACTCACTCAAAACTGCTCAACTACATGGAATCTCAACAACCTGCTCCTGAATGACTACTGGGTACATAACGAAATGAAGGCAGAAATAAAGATTTCTTTGAAACCAATGAGAACAAAGACACAACATATCAGAATCTCTGGGACACATTTAAAGCAATGTGTAGAGAGAAATTTATAGCACTAAAAGTCCACAAGAGAAAACAGGAAAGATCTAAAATTGACACCCTAACATCACAATTAAAAGAACTAGAGAAGCAAGAGCAAACAAATTCAAAAGCTAGCAGAAGGCAAGAAATAACTAAGATCAGAGCAGAACTGAAGGAGATAGAGACACAAAAAACCCTTCAAAAAATCAATGAATCCAGGAGCTGGTTTTTTGAAAAGATCAACAAAATTGATAGACCACTAGCAAGACTAATAAAGAAGAAAAGAGAGAAGAATCAAATAGAAGCAATAAAAAATGATAAAGGAGGTATCACCGCCAATTCCACAGAAATACAAACTACCATCAGAGAATACTATAAACAGCTCTATGCAAATAAACTAGAAAATCTAGAAGAAACGGATAAATTCCTGGACACACACACCATCTCAAGACTAAACCACGAAGAAGTTGAATCCCTGAATAGACAAATAACAGGCTCTGAAACTGAGGCAATAATTAACAGCCTACCAACCAAAGAAAGTCCAGGACCAGACGAATTCACAGACGAATTCTACAAGAGCTACAAAGAGGAGCTGGTACCATTCCTTGTAAAACTATTCCAATCAATAGAAAAAGAGGGAATCTTCCCTAACTCATTTTATGAGGCCAGCATCATCCTGATGCCAAAGCCTGGCAGAGACACAACAACAACAAAAAAGAGAATTTTAGACCAATATCAATGCAAAAATCCTCAATAAAATACTGGCAAACCGAATCCAGCAGCACATCAAATAGCTTATCCACCATGATCAAGTTGGCTTCATCTCTGGGATGCAAGACTGGTTCAACATACGCAAATCAATAAATGTAATCCATCACATAAACAGAACCAAAGACAAAAACCACATGATTATCTCAACAGATGCAGAAAAGGCCTTTGACAAAATTCAACAGCCCTTCATGCTAAAAACTCTCAATAAACTAGGTATTGATGGGATGTATCTCAAAATAATAAGAGCTATTTATGACAAATCCACAGCGAATATCACAGTGAACGGGCAAAAACTGGAAGCACTCCCTTTGAAAACTGGCATAAGACAGGGATGCCCTCTCTCACCACTCCTGTTCAACATAGTGTTGGAAGTTCTGGCCAGGGCAATCAGGCAGGAGAAAGAAATAAAGGGTATTCAATTAGGAAAAAAGGAAGTCAAATTGTCCCTGTTTGCAGATGACATGATTGTATACTTAGAAAACCCCATCGTCTCAGCCCAAAATCTCCTTAAGCTGATAAGCAACTTCAGTAAAGTCTCAGGACACAAAATCAATGTGCAAAAATCACAAGCATTCCTATACACCAATAACAGACAAACAGAGAGCCAAATCATGAGTGAACTCCCATTCACAATTGCTACAAAGAGAATAAAATACCTAGGAATCCAACTTACAAGGGATGTGAAGGACCTCCTCAGGGAGAACTACAAACCACTGCTCAACGAAATAAAAGAGGACACAAACAAATGGAAGAACACTCCATGCTCATGGATAGGAAAAATCAATATCGTGAAAATGGCCATACTGCCCAAGGTAATTTATAGATTCAGTGCCATCCCCATCAAGCTCCCAATGACTTTCTTCACAGAATTGGAAAAAACTACTTTAAAGTTCATATGGAACCAAAAAAGAGCCTGCATTGCCAAGACAATCTTAAGCCAAAAGAACAAAGCTGGAGGCATCACGCTACCTGACTTCAAACTATACTACAAGGTTACAGTAACCAAAACAGCATGGTACTGGTACCAAAACAGACATATAGACCAATGGAACAGAACAGAGCCCTTAGAAATAATACCACACATCTACAACCGTCTGATCTTTGACAAACTTGACAAAAACAAGAAATGGGGAAATGATTCCCTATTTAATAAATAGTGCTGCAGCACTATTCACAATAGCAAAGACTTGGAACCAACCCAAATGTCCATCAATGATAGACTGGATTAAGAAAATGTGGCACATGTACACCATGGAATACTATGCAGCCATAAAAAATGATGAGTTCATGTCCTTTGTAGGGACATGGATGAAGCTGGAAACCACCATTCTGAGCAAACTATCGCAAGGACAGAAAACCAAACACCACATGTTCTCACTCATAGGTGGGAAATGAACAATGAGAACATTTGGACACAGGGTGGGAAACATTACACACCGGGGCCTGTCGTGGGGTTGGGGGAGTGGGGAGGGATAGCATTAGGAGATATACCTAATGTAAATGACGAGTTAATGGGTGCAGTACACCAACATGGCACATGTATACAGATGTAACAAACCTGCATGTTGTGCACATGCACCCTAGAACTTAAAGTATGATGTATAATTTAAAAAATAATAAGTGGATTCCATTTAAGTTTTTTTTTTTTTTTTGAGATGAAGTCTCACTCTGTCACCCAGGCTGGAGTGCAGTGGCACAATCTTGGATTACTGCAACCTCCACCTCCCAGGTTTAAGCGATTCTCCTGCCTCAGCCTCCCAAGTAGATGGGATTACAGGCATGTGCCACCATGCCTGGCTAAATATTTTTTTTTTTTGTATTTTTAGTAGAGATGGGGTTTCATCATGTTGGCCAGGCTGGTCTCCAATCCCTGACCTCAAATGATCAACCCACCTAGGCTTCCCAAAGTGCTGGGATTATAGGCATGAGCCATAAGATTTTAGTAGGTGGCCCAAAACTGACTGTTGTTTCTCTTTTTAATTATTGTACATACCAAAATAATGAAAAGAGTAAATTTCAAATGTCTCACTATAAAAAATGTTAGGCAAGTGAGGTGATAGACAAGTTAATGATGGGTTAATGTGTTTGATTTAATCAATCCACCTTGTATACAAACATCACATCACATTGTACACCATAAATGTATACAATAATGTATCCATCAAAAATAACAATAAAAACTGAAAAAAATATTAAATATACCTTGGAATCCTGATACTATTTGGACGACATCTTCATATACCATTAGAGTGGCAGAGCGTTCTGGAAGCAGGCCAAGGCTCAGAGAGGAAAATACTGCAGGAAAAAGAAATGGATAGAAGGGGATTTTAATAGTCATATTTAAGTGCCTACTCTAATTTTTGGGATACTCTGCAGTTTTTGTATTTTCTGATTTCAAATCAATTAATACAATTAATTTTTAGTTAGATTAGCAAAAGACCTTCAAAATGCTACAAGTGTATTGCAGTATCTCATATAACAATTACTTGCCTTACAATGGTCATCTTTTTTCATTTGTTAGAAGTTTTCTTTTTTTTTTCTTTTTTCTGAGACGGACTCTCGCTTGTCACCAGGCTGGAATGCAGTGGCGCAATCTCAGCTCACTCTAACCTCCGCCTCCCAGGTTCAAGCGATTCTCCTGCCTCAGACTCCCGAGTAGCTGAGATTACAGGCACCTGCCACCATGCCCAGATAATTTTTGCATTTTTGGTAGATACAGGGTTTTACTGTGTTGGCGAAGCTGGTCTCGAACTCCTGACTTCGTGATCCACCTGCCTTGGCCTCCCAAAGTGTTGGGATTACAGGCGTGAGCCACTGCGCCCAGCCAGAAGTTTTCAGTAAAGTAACTAAGCCTCTTCACATTAGGAGTATATGAAAGTTATCATGTATACACTACATGAATGTAGAATACATAATGTTAGATGTTAACATTAAGAATGGCTTTAAAAATACGTGTCTAGGTTAATGTGTACCTCATGGTAAAAGAATATTCCCCCAATCCTGGGAACTAATAACATGATAGAAATTGTGCTTTTCATTTTTATTTTTTTGAGACACGGTCTCACTCTGTCACTCAGGCTGGAGTGCAGTGGCACGGTTAGAACTCACTGTAGCCTCGACCTCCCAGGCTCAAGTATCCCTGCTGCCTTAGTCTCTCAAATAGTTGGGACCATGGGTGTGCACCACTGCACCCAGCTAATTTTCAAAATTTTTTGTAGAGACAGGGTCTCCATATGTTGCCCAGGTTACTCTCAAACTCCTGGGCTCAAGCAATCCTTCCCACCTTTGCCTTCCAAAGTCCTGGGATTATAGGCTAGAGCCACTGCACCTAGCCAAGTTATGCTATTTTCAAACTCTTGCTTAAGTACCTGGATTTCTAAAAAATTTTAGAAACCCCACAAATTTCTGGGTAAAACATGAATTTAAGAGAAAAACAAATAAATGCATTATAGAATAATAATCATCACTCACATTACTGAACCTTTACTAACAGGACAAACAGTATTCTAAGTGCTTTAATTTTAGTAATTTATTTAAGCTTCAAAACAGCTCTATCACTTAGGCATTATTATTATTATTTTTGAGACAGAGTTTCACTCTTGTTGCCCAGGCTGGAGTGCAATCGCGTGATCTTGGCTCACTGCAACCTCCGCCTCGCAGGTTCAAGTGATTCTCCTGCCTCAGCCTCCCGAATAGCTGGGATTACAGGCACCTGCCACCATGCCCAGCTAATGTTTTAAAAAATATTTTTAGTAGAGACAGGGTTTCACCATGTTGGCCAGGCTGGTTTCAAACTCCTGACCTCAAGTGATCCATCTGCCTTGGCCTCCCAAACTGCTAGGATTACAGGCATCAGCCAACGTACCTGGCATCTGAAGTAGGCATTATTAACATGCCCATTTCACAGGTAAGGAAACAGGTTTACAGATGAGGAAGTAACTCACCCAATATCCCACAGCTAATAAATGCCAGGGCTACGATTTGAACTCTGGAGTTCTCAACCACTATGAGACATGGAAAAGTTGGCCTAGAGAGGTAAATGACATTCTGGGAAAACATCAGGATCTAGAAGATAAGTGCTAAGAAGATCAGTCACTTCACAGTGCTGGCTCTTTTTTTTTGAGATGCAGTTTCGCTCTTGCTACCCAGGCTGGAGTGCAGTGGTGCAATCTTGGCTCACTCCAGCCTCTGCCTCCCACGTTCAAGCTATCCTCCTGCCACAGCCTCCTGAGTAGCTGGAATTACAGGTGTGCATCACCATGCCTGGCTAATTGTGTATTTTTAGTAGTGATGGGGTTTCGTCACATTGGCCAGGCTGGTCTCAAATTCCTGGCCTCAAGTGATCTGCCCTCCTCGGCCTCCCAAAGTGCTGGGATTACAGGCATGAGCCACCGTGCCCGGGTAAGCAGTGCTGGCTCTTAGTGCCATAGGGCACCAGTGAGTTGGCCGTGGATGTGACCTCTTTTCACTCAGC
Source organism: Homo sapiens (assembly GCF_000001405.40). Lineage (NCBI taxonomy): Eukaryota > Metazoa > Chordata > Mammalia > Primates > Hominidae > Homo > Homo sapiens. The sequence continues at coordinate 15,278,127 of NC_000010.11, forward strand.
CTCCACACAGTCAATTTATTTAGCTGTCATCATATACGAGGCTCAGATCTACACCCTGGGTGGAACAGATCAGTGTTAGAAGCAGCCTGTGCCTTCAAGAGTTATGCATTGCAAGGGTACTAGACTTGAAACAAGTAGCTGTACGACACGCAGAATGGGCCAGGTACCAGGAGAAAGACAAGAATAGCAGCTTGGTGCTGCAGAAACAGCCTGGGAGTTCCTCAAATATTAAACACAGAGTGACCCCAGGATGCAGCAATTCCACTCCTACGTATAAACCCAAGAGAACCGAAAACCTACGTTCATACAGAAACTCACACATCGATGTTTGCAGCAGCATTATCCGTAACAGCCGAAAAGCGGAGACAACACACGTAAATGTCTATCGGCTGATGAATGGATAAAGTGTGGTATTGTCTATATGAGGGAATATTATTCACTCATGAAAGGGAAGGTGCTACTGACATGTGCTACAACGTGGATGAATCTTGGAAACATCAGGCTGAGCGAAAGACGCCAGACACAAAAAGCCACGTATTCCAAGATTCCAGTTCTATGGGATGTGCAGAATAGGCAAATCTAGAGAGACAGAGGGTAGATTAGTGGTTGCCAGGGGCTGGGAGGTGTGGGAAAGAGTGAGTTGGTGCTAATAGGTATGGGGTTTTGGGGGTGAGGAAACATTCTGCAATTAGTCACTGTTGGGAGGAACCCCAACTTGGGTAAATCCCGCATGACCACTTCGTAGGTAAACTATTATCAGCGATCCTTTCACCTAAGGCACAGGGCACCTCCTGGCGAGGAGGAATGGGCAGGATTGTCCTAGCAGATGCTGCTGGTAGGAAGCAGCACACCTCAAAACCCGGGCTAGGGTTACACTCCATGCCCTCCTAAACGAGGATGCCTGGGTCTTCCTGCTCCATTGCAGAGCTCCCGTGGCGACTGCAGACATTTACAAGGCCCTGACCACCTCTGAGCTGACCGGTTTGGGGGGCTCGGAGCTCCGAAATCACCTGTGATCATCCCCTGAGAGGTGTGTGACCATCGCAGTGTGTTTTGAAAATGTTTCTCACCTAAAATATTTGGTACTTTCATATATAAGGCAGCTGCTCTGGCAAATTGTTTCTCAAACTTTATTTCCTAAAGGAGAGAAAAATGATTCCTTGTTTTACTTTTTTAGGCCTTTCTTTGAATTCTAAAACACATGATTTCTTGTAACAAGCTTGGCACCAGCAGGGACTTCCCGGGGCAGAGGACAGGGACTAGGGATGCAATCAAGCAGTGCCCAGGTGGGTGAAGGCAGCAGAGAGACGGAGATCCGTGGGTAGTGCTGCTTTTTTCCCATCACAGAGGGGAGGCTGATTGATGTCTGGAGGTGCTGTTCATACCAAGTAGATTTTTTTTTTTTGATACCTAGAGGGAAAGGAACATCTCATTCTACCCAGGAAAGGCAGGAAGATTTTTTGACGCAGAAAACAGTCCAGCTGGGCTTTATGGGATAAAAGAAGTTTGCCGGCCAGGCTTGGTGGCTCATGTCTGTAATCTCAGCACTTTGGGAGTCCAAGGCAGGCGGATCACAAGGTTAAGAGATCAAGATTATCCTGGCCAACATGGTGAAACCCCATCTCTACTAAAGATACAAAAATTAGCCAGGCATGGTGGCGTGCACCTGCAGTTCCAGCTACTCGGGAGGCTGAGGCAAGACAATCGCTTCAACCCAGGAGACGGAGGTTGCAGTGAACCGAGATTGCACCACTGAGACTCTGTCTTGAAAAATAAAACAAAACAAAACAAAACAAAAACAAAACCACAAATTAGCTGAGTGTGGTGGCGTGCACCTGTAATCCCAGCTACTTGGGATGCTGAGGCAGGAGAATTGCTTGAACCTTGGAGGTGGAGGGTGTAGTGAGCTGAGATTGCACCACTGCACTCCAGCCTGGGTGACAGAGTGAGACTTCATCTCAAAAAGAAGAAAAAAACCCAAAAAATTTGCCAAGAGAACAATGCAGACAAACACAGACAGGGTAGAAATGGCAGACTCCTTCACAGAATGACATGTTGCCCAGGGCGGCCGACCATGAGATATGGAAGGGAGAGGTGGCCAGGGGAGGAGGCTCCGTGTCACGTTTACTTCATCCTGAGGCCACTGAAGAATTTTAGGCAGGTACATATTTTAATACATGAACTGCACATATATATTTTCATACACAAATGCTCAGTCATATTGTGGGTGGTCTGTGGGGTAGAACAACTGGACTGGAGGCCATTGCCATGGTCCTGGACCATCGCTAAGGACCTGGGCCAGGGTGATCGCTGCAGAGACAGCAATAATTAAGACGTAGAATGACAGCCTTTAGTGGATGGACTGCATCTCCTATGGCTAAGTTTATTCTTACCTGCCTGCCACGGGTGGAGGGTGTTTTCCTTATGCTGGGTTCCTCCCTCTCCTCCCTTCCTTGAAAGTGAAAAAAACCTCAACACATCCTCCAGGAACTATTGTTAAGGATGAAAAAGGAAATCCGTTTCTGGGTTTCGTAAGAATGCTCATGCACACACAAGCAGTGTGCTGCACACGTGTGGGAAAGAAGGCATTTTTTAGTTTCAAATTTTCAACATATTTTAGAAGAGGCTCCCAGCTCTTCTCACTTCCTTGCCCAGTTATCTGCAATACCAGAAGTGTTAGTGTTCATCTCCAAAAATATGCACAAAAGCAAATTGACTCTGCTTTTCACAATAGGCTAAATTTTTTTGTCTAAATTTTGGAGATGTTTCCTGTTAAGTTCTAGTTAAGAGCATAACATGGTTTGGATCTGCGTCCCTGCCCAAATCTCACGTCGAATTGTAACCCCCAGTGTTGGAGGTAGGGCCTGATGGGAGGTGATTGGATCACGGGGGCAGTTTCTCATGAATGGTTTAGCACCATCTCCTGGTGCTATTCTTGTGATCATGAGTGAGTTCTCACGAGACCTGGTTGTTTCAAGGTGTGTAGCACCTCTACCCTCTCTCTCTTCCTCCTGTTCTGGCCATGTGAAATGTCTCACTTCCCTTTTGCCTTTTGCCATGATCGGAAGCTTCCTGAGGCTTCCCCAGAAGCAGAAGATGCCATGCCTCCTGTATCTCCTCCAGAACTGTGGGCCAGTTACACTTCTTTTCTTTATAAATTATCCAGTCTCAGCTATTTCTTTATAGTGGACTAATACAGAGTATCTTTATTATATTGAAAAGGCAAAGCGCAGAAAAATAATCACAGACATGGGAAGATTTTTAGAAATTATTTAGACTAATTAACTTGATTTCAGAAACAAACACAAGCTCAGAAAGTGCTGATGGGCCGATATGTGTGGGGCCAGCCAGGGGTGGGCAGGCCTGGGACCCAGGTGTCTTCATGCCTTGTCCAAAACTCAATTAAACTTCATTATTCCTATGACTTGACTCATTTGTAATAGTACAGATATCAGCCGGGCACAGTGGCTCACGCCTGTAATCCCAGAACTTTGGGAGGCCGAGGCAAGTGGATCACCTGAGGTCAGGAGCTCAAGACCAGCCTGGCCAACATGGCAAAACCCCATCTCCATTAAAAATACAAAATTAACCAGGTGTGGTGGTGTGCTCCTGTAATCCCAGCTACTCAGGAGGCTGAAGCAGGAGAATTGCTTGAACCTGGGAGGTGGAGATTGCAGTGAGCCAAGATCACGCCACTGCATTCTAGCCTTGGCCACAGAATGAGACTGTCTCCAAAAATAAAAAAATAAAAAAACAGATATGATGGGAATGGTTTTTCTCAAATGACCATGTTAACAGAGTCAAAATGAATGTGATCAAAGTGTAGTAGCTGCTCATTATTCACCAATTCTGTATTTGTAAACCTCCCTACTTGCTAAAGCTTATTTGTAACCCCTAGATGTATTCAGGGCCAAGCTTTTCATGTCTTTAAGCATTCTGTTGGTGATTTTGCTATTTACTTATTTATTTTTAGAGATGGAGTCTCGCTGTGTCATCCCGGCTGGAGTGCAGTGGCTCCATCCCAGCTCACTGCAGCCTCCACATCCTGGGTTCCAGCTCCTCTTGCCTCAGCCTCCAGAGTCGCTGGGATTACAGGCATGATTCTACCGTTTCAAATGACCCCTAGTGTAGTGCTGTCTAATGTTCCTAAGCAGGAGGAGGTTGTGACTGTGCCTTATGGAGAAAACATGTGTGTTCGATCAGCTTTGTTCGGGCATGAGTTATGGTGCTATGGGCTGTCAGTTCAATGTTAATGAATCAACAATCTATATATCAAATAAGATTTCTTTAAACAAAGACAACACAAAACAAAGGCACGTACTATTGATCGGTTCATGAAAATGTTGTGACCAGAGGCTTGCAGGAACTCAGCCCTGCGTTTCCCTTGTAGCAGTGGTTCAGTATTTGCTCAGTCCATGTTTGAGGTGGCTATGGACCATAACTACTGTGAACAACGACAATTGACTGATGGGCTTTGTGTAGCTGTTCTCCTGAAACAGGCAGAGACAGCCTAAACGTCCCTCAGTGATTTCCAGTGACTTCTCAGCATGGACCATGGGAGTGTCAAATGCTTCCTTTATTTTAATTTATTTTATTATTTTTTGAGACAGGGTCTTCCTCTGTCACCCAGGCTGGAGTGCAGTGGCACCATCTCAGCTCACTGCAGACTCGACTCTAATGTTCCCTTGGATATAACTTAGTAAAGGCCACCTGTCCTGTTGTGTGGGCTCTCCTGGGGTCCTGTCTCAGGCCCACTGTCCTCCACCCTCTGCTGGAGATAATAGTTAACACTGCTGATAAGCCAAACTAAACCTCTAGCCCAGATCTCTCTCTTGAACCCCAAGTTCATTTCAAACTAAAGGCCGAATATGCTCACTTGGTGTCCCAGCAGCAATTTGAACTAAATATACCCTAAACTTAGCTTATAATCAATGACTGCGACACCCATTCCTCTCCTCCCATTTCCCCAAAGCTCTGTCCATCTTTGCCTAAGCCTAGGGAGAGGGAGTTACAGAGGGAGGGAGGGAGTGAGGGAGGAGACTTCTTTAATTCACACCATCAGTGCAATCAACTTTAGGAAAACGTGGTGTGGCCAGATACCCACCTCCACAGCTTGCCCCTGCTGGGACCAACTGCTCTGTCACCAGCTGAAAACCCGAAGTCCAACTCACATTCCTTCTATTTCATCCTTTTCCTTCCCTCTCTCCTGTCCATTCTCCAAGACCTGCTTAATATCTCTCAGGTTTATCCCCTTTTCTTATGAACTCTCCTAGATGATCTCCATTGTATCTGTATCAAATCCACTTTCCATAGATCAAAAAGCAGTGGCCTCAAGCTTTGCTAAATATTTTTATTCACAGTATCTGGTGGAGGGGGAGAGGCGTTTGCTCGTTAAAATGCAAATTCCCCTCCCCATATTGAATGGTGGAGTTCTGGAATCTGTATGTTTTTATTTATTTTATTTCATTTTATTCTTGAAGCAGGGTCTTGTTCTGTTGCCCAGGCTAGACTGCAGTGGTGTCACCATGGCTCACTGCAGTCTCGAACTCCCAGAATCAAGCAATCCTCCCACCTCAACCTCTTGAGTAGCTGGGACTACAGGTGCACACTATGATGCCTGGCTAATTTTAAATTTTTTTGTAGAGATGCAGTCTCACTATGTTGCCCAAGCTGGTTTCAGACTCCTGGCCTTATGCGATCCTCCCACCAGCCAATGCCCTCTGTGTTAAAGAAAGATGAGGAACGCCTTACCAGGTAACCGGATTGGCTTCCATGGGGCAGAGTTTGGCACGTAGGCATGCTTCGAGGCGGTGACAATCAACTGACTGCCCAGCTTATACTGGAACTTGATAAAGGCGACGCCATCAGTCCCCGAGGTGCCAGAGGCTATGGAGGCCTGGTTGGTGAAGATCTCGATGAGCGCATCTGCTACGGGCTGGTGGGTGCTGGCGTCGCTGATGTGCACCTTTAACGTCACCTCTGGAGGTAGAGAAAGCACAAAGAACAGCTACTGTCAATGGGAAACATTCATAGCAACTCTGGTATGACTGTGATGGGAAGTGGAAGGAGGGCTCTGTAAGGACATCAAGGTTGACACTCAAAATATGCAGTTTTTACCAGAGACATTTTCTCCTTACAGGTCTACTTTTTACTTCACACAATTTCCCATTTTCTTCAAAACCACAGCCTGACCCAAACTGCTTTCTTCTTTACTACTGCCTGCTCAAATCAACAAATGATCAAGAGAAAAATTCTATACTTTTAAACATTGGGCAACCAATGCAATACTTCGTGTGTGTGTGTGTGTGTGTGTTTTGAAACAGTCTCACTCTGTTGCACAGGCTGGAGTACAGGTGCGTGATGATGGCTCACTGCAGTCTCGATCTCCTGGGCTCAACTGATCCTCCCACCTCAGCCTCCTGAGTAGCTGGGACTACAGGTGTGTGCCACCACACTGAGCTAATTTTTGTAGAGATGGGGTTTTGCCATGTTGCAAAGGCTGGTTTCAAACTCCTGAGGCTCAAGCGATCTGCCCGCCTCAGGCTCCCAGAGTGCTGAGGTTACAGGTGTGCCCCACCGTGCCCAGACAACAATACTCTTTCAATGGTGTTTGGGCTACCACAGTAAGGGCACAGTGGGCCATGGTATTTGCAAGCTGCCGTATCCTTCTCTAGTCCTGGGAAATGTGGCAGAAGTAACCCAGGATTGTGCACTGGTAATCACAAAGGCTAGACTGAAAAGAAGTGAAAACTATTGTTAAAAGGGAGGACCCAAAGAGTAGAACAAGAGAAGGTTAGAAAAAGAATAAAAAAAAAAAAAAGCAAACGTTTGAAAAGACAGATGAAGTCAAGTTAGGAATATTGGCAAAAACAGATCATGAATCTGGGAAACAAACAGAATGTTACAAATTGCTAAAAAATTAAAATAGAATGGCTAATTTACATTTACTCAGGCAAGGGATAGTTACCGAACTTTTACTCTGTGCCTAGAATTGTAACTACACAGCTACAGTGAAGGAGAGGATGCGTGAGTAAACAGGAAAGTACCATGGCTGAGGGGGAACAGCATGTGTGGAGGCTTAGAGGCAGGAAGACGCCATGTTTCCTGGAGAAACAATGGCAGGTTCTGAAAGCTGGATGGAGAGCGTGAGAGGCGTAGGAGGCTGGAGAGGCAAGTAAGGCCAGATCACACATGGCTTTATGAGCTCCGTAAAAGGATTATTCTTTATTCTAAAGGCAATGGGAAGTCACAAAGGTTTTAAGAGGGGAGTGGAGATCAAATTTATGTTACAGAAACATGTGGCTCTGGGTGAAGAATGGGCTGAGGAAGAGGCAAGGCTGGAGAATAAGCATTCAATTAAGAGGACTCTGTGATAACCCAGAACTGAGATGGTGGTAGACCAGACTCCAGCAGAACTATCACGTCAAGGGTGCTGATTCCAGAACTATGTGGGGGAGCAACTCAGAAGTGCATCCTGCTCCCAGAAACCCTATTTTCTTAAGTAGGAAGCAAGCAGCTGGTGTGATGTATGTCCACCTGGTCACTTGCAGGCACCACATGCCATGCTTTTTGAGCTGCCTCTGATCTGAAAGACTTGGGATAGGAAGGTGGGGAAAGGACTAGCAAAAAGCGAGGAGGTGGCCAAGGAGGCTTGTGTTCATAGCACCTTCCAGAGTGGGGCTCAGTGGAGTGACCATCAATGAGCCGGCTGCAGGCTGGCTGGGTACAGAGCAGCCTGACAGCGAGGATGAGGAAGGAGTGCTGGGTCAGCCTTGCAGGTATTGCCCAGTGGCACACACCCTGGGGTTCTGCAATTCTCACTGGAGGTTCGAATCTCAGCTCCACCATGTGCTAGCCATGTAGCCTTGGGCAGTTTATTTATCATCTCTAGGCCCCAGTTTCCCCATTTGCTAACTGGGAATGATAAACATGCATAGCTCAACATATAGGTAGAAACATTTAGTGTAATGCCTGGTGCAGTAAGCACCGACACAAGCTACTGCAATTGTGTCATTCCAATCATGATGCTTGTAAACATTCCAACATGGTGCTTGGGGATACCAGATTTGGGGCTCAGAGAGGAGAGTTAGAAAGAAGAAATATATAAAACAAAAGGGACAGGTGAGACAACCCTCTCAGAGAGTATTAATACCTTTGTTTGTTTGTTTGTTTAGATGGAGTTTCATTCTTGCCACCCAGGGTGGAGTGCAATGGCATGATCTCAGCTCACTGTAACCTCTGCCTGCTGGGTTCAAGCAATTCTCCTGCCTCAGCCTCCCGAGTAGCTGGGATTACAGGTGCCCGCCACGATGCCCCACTAATTTTTTGCACTTTTAGTAGAGACAGGGTTTCACCATGTTGGCCAGGTTGCTCTTGAACTCCTGATGTCAGGTGATCCACCCACCTCGGGCTCCCAAAGTGCTGGGATTACAGGCATGATCCACCGCGCCTGGCCTGAGTATTAACATCTTTATATCCAGAGCTCTATCCTACACTGGGGCAACCATATAGAGAAGAACTTCTTTTGGTTTGAGAATCTCCACCTTGGTAACTTGCCAACTAGCTGTCTCATGATACTAAAGCAGTCTTTTCAATACTGCAAATTTCAGTTAGTCAATCATCTTTCACCCATTTTTTCCACATGCTGATTTAATACATTTCTTGAGTAGATAACCATAGACAAGAGCTAAAGAATCCTAGACCTAGCTAAATCATTCACCTGCCTTTGAGGAGCTCTGAGCTATGGGTGTGTACCAAATAAATCTCTTAAAATGTTTTAGCAAGAACAAATAAATGCTACAGAAACCAATCTTGGCTACTTCATACTATAGGAGAAAACTAACATCCAAAAAGGGACAAATCAGCATCATGAAAATCAAGGATATGATATTACAGAATACATTTAGTCAATTCACTTCAATCCAATCAGGATGTGCACGACACATACACACACATTTTCTTCTTCTTTTTTTTTTTTTTTTTTGAGATGGAGTCTCACTCTGTTGCCCAGGCTAGAGTGCAGTGGTGCGATCTCGGCTCACCGTAAGCTTCGCCTCCCGGGTTCACGCCATTCTCCTGCCTCAGCCTCCCGAGTAGCTGGGAATACAGGCACCCGCCACCACATCCGGCTAATTTTTTGTATTTTTTAATAGAGACAGGGTTTCACCGTGTTAGCCAGGATGGTCTCCATCTCCTGACCACGTGATCTGCCCACCTCAGCCTCCCAAAGTGCTGTGATTACAGGTGTGACCCACCGCGCCGGCCTCTTTTTTTTTTTTTTTAGACAGAGTTTCGCTCTGTCCCCAGGCTGGAGTGCAGTGGCGCGATCTTGGCTCACTGCAACCTTTGCCTCCCAGGTTCAAGCGATTCTCCTGCCTCAGCCACCAGAGTAGCTGGGACTACAGGCGCCTGCCACCACGCCCACCTAATTTTTGTATTTTTAGTAGAGACGGGCTTTCACCACGTTGGCCGGGATGGTCTTGATCTCTTGACCTGGTGATCTGCCCGCCTTGGCCTCCCAAAGTGCTGGGATTACAGGCGTGAGCCACCGTGCCTGGTTCCCCCACACACATTTTCTTATTTAACTTGGTCCTCTGTGTCCCCAAGTAGTATACTATTCCTCTTATAAATTTTAAATTTTTATTTATTTATTTCCGTAGGTTTTAGGGGAACAGGTGGTGTTTGGTTACATGAGTAAGTTCTTTAGCGGTGATTTCTGAGATTCTGGTGCGCCCATCACCCAAGTAGTGTACACTGTACCCAATGGGTAGTCTTTTATCCCTCACCCTCTCCCACCCTTTTCCCTGAGTCCTCCAAATCCACTGTATCATTCTTTATGTCTTTGCATCCTCATAGCTTAGCTCCCACTCAGGAGTGAGAACAAACGATGTTTGGTTTTCCATTCCTGAGTTACTTCACTTAGAATAATGGTCTCCAATTCCTTCCAGGTTGCTGCAAATGTAATTATTTCATTCCTTTCATGGCTGATAAGTATTCCATAGTATATATATACCACATTTTCTTTATCCACTCATTGACTGACGGGCATTTGGGCTGGTTTCATATTTTTTGCAATTGCAAATGGTGCTGCTATAAACATGCATATGCAAGCATCTTTTTCACATAATAACTTTTTTTGTTCTGGGTAGATACCGGTAGTGGGATTGATGGATAAAATGGTAGTCCTTTTTTTTTTCATAGGTTTTTGGGGAGCAGGTGGTATTTGGTTACATGAGTAAGTTTTTTAGTGGTGATTTGTGAGATTTTGGTGTACCCATCACCCGAGCAGTATACACTGAATCCAGTGTGTAGTCTTTACCTAAGTAGTATACTAAATTATAACATAAATTAACTCATGGTGCATTAATAACCACATAGCAGAAATCCTGCATTGATGATTTATGCAATTTTATGGAAATGCAACATTTACTAACAATTGGGATTACAAGGTCTTCACTGTTTGCTAAGAAGGCAAAAACTGCTGAGATTTGAGGGAAAAGAAGATTTATGAATAAACAGAGAAAGGCGGAGTTCCACTCTAATCAACACCCTAGATTCTACCACTTGAATTTCTTCTAATATGGGAAGGATAGTTTAAGTTCTACAATTATATACGTTAAAAGAGATTGTTTAGTTCTTCGCTTGGTATGATCAGAGAGAACAAAATGTCAGTATGATTCGGTAATTCTTTTTTTTTTTTTTTTTTTTTTTTTTGAGACAGAGTCTCATTCTTGTTGCCCAGGCTGGAGTGCAATGGCACAGTCTCGGCTCACTGCAACCTCCACTTCCCGGGTTCAAGCGATTCTCCTGCCTCAGCCTCCCAAGTAGCTGAGATTACAGGCTTGCGCCATCACGCGTGGCTACTTTTGTATTTTTAGTGGAGACAGGGTTTCTCCATGTTGGTCAGGCTGGTCTCAAACTCCTGACCTCAGGTGATCTGCCTGCCTTGGCCTCCCAAAGCACTGGGATTACAGGTGTGAGCCATCACACCCGGCCTGATTCGGTAATTCTTACAGCCCACAGGGGCATCATCGTTATAGAATAACACTGAGAATGGGACTCTCCATTCAACCGCAAACAAAACTATCCCTAACTAAATGACAACCAGGGCAGCTGTCATCTGACTAGGCAAGGCATTAGTTACTACATGACTCTCATTTATAGGAAGACCCCATAAACGGTCCCAGACCTAAATATGCCCTAGGGTGCACTCTTTGCTGCTCAGTGAGTACTGAGGACCCCGCTGAGTTGGTCACCTGAAGACTGCACAAAACCCAGACTGGGACATCCTTTTCTCACTCCATACCCTGCACATCCATCACCAAAGTCTGCTCATTTTGACTGCAAACTCTGCATCTCAAAGCAGGCCTTTCTTTTGTACCCTCGTGAACACTGCCCTATTTCCAGGCCTTCACCATCCATCACCCACACTGCTGCTCAGCAACTTTACCAAAACAGTCACCCTCTTCAGACCTGAGCCCTGAGATCCCACTGAGGCTGGAGGGAGCTATCCAATACACTCAGCTGACCTCTCCCTGTCTCCCTCAAACCCTTCGATGCGTCCCCACTGTCACCTGTACCAGGTGCAGCAACTTCGGCCTGCCCTCAGGCCAAATGTGGCCTGCTGCCTGCTTTTGTATACAGTCCATGAAAATTATCTGCAATTTAAATTTCAGTGTCTATAAAGTTTTATTGGAACACAGCCACGCCCCATCATTTGCATGGGCTGGTTTTGCATTACAACAGCAGACTTTAGAAGTTGCCACGGAGACCATAAGGGCTGCAAAGCCTGAACTCACTACTTTTGGCCCTTTAGAGAAAAAGGAAGGCCATGTGGCTCACGCCTGTAATCCCAGCACTTTGGGAGGCCGAGGCGGGCGGGTCACGAGGTCAGGAGTTTGAGACCAGTGCGGCCAACATAGTGAAACCCCGTCTCTACTAAAAATACAAAAATTAGCTGGGTGTGGTAGTACACGCTTGTAGTCTCAGCTACTTGGGAGGCTGAGGCCGGAGAATTGCTTGAACCCAGGAGGCAGAGGTTGCAGTGAACCGAGACCACGCCATTGCACTCCAGCCTGGATGACAGAGTGAAAAAAAAAAAGCCACCACACTCAAGGGACAGGATCCATCCCAGAAGCCTCCTGTCCTGCACCAGCCACCCCACCTGACCCCATCCCCTGCCCTCGGCTCCTCCTTCCTGTTCCTTCCTGCCACAGCTTATTGCCTTTGAAGGCAATGTTTTTCTACACTTCCCTTCCATGTTGCTAATTCCTCTTTTTCCTTTAAAAGGCTGCAGTAAGGTGGATTCAAGAAAGTACTCTGGCCGGACTCAGCAACCCTGCATTTCCCTGAAGCTCTCCAGACACATGGTCTCTGTTTCTTGTCCATTTCCATTTCTGTCTGTTTCACCTTGGGCCAACTGTGGGGGTGTACAACAGAGACCAGACCCCTGACCCTCAGGAGCTTTAGCTTTATTGATTAAATACATACTGAAGTGTCATTCTGAACTGGAAGAAGTGCCCCAAGGAAAACTGGGTGACACAAGGCAGAACGGGGAACCTATTTTCAACTGGGTGGTCAGGGGAGGCCTTCTTGAGGAGGTGTCATTTTAGCTTAGGCCTGGAGGAGACACAGGGACCAGCCAGGCAAAGGGGTGTCCTGAGATGAGAACGACCAGGTTGTTTACCACTGAATTAAAACTCCCACGGAGAGAGCTTTGTGCAGGGGCCCTTGTGACTGAAGATGAGGGGTCTGGGCCACCCATGTACCGCCGTTTTGTTTTGTTTAGAGTCTTAGCTTACTACAGGCTTGACCTCCCAGGCTCAAGCGATCCTCTCACCTCAGCATCCCAAGTAGCTGGGACCACACGCATGCACCACCACATCCAGCTAATTTTTGTATTTTTGTAGAGACAGGGTTTTGCCCTGTTGCCCAGGCTGGTCTCAGACTTCTGGGCTCAGGCGATCCTCCTGCCTCAACCTCCCAAAGTGATGGGATTATAGGCATGAGCCACCACGTCCGGCCATACCACTATTTTAGAGGGTCTGGGGTGGCCCATGAGCCCCTCAAGAATAGGGGCTTATTTTTAAAAAATTCAATTTATAACTGTGAGGCCTAGCTGGTACCTAGAGCCAGCAGGTGGTCAATAAAAGTTTGCAAAATGAATGCTGGGGTGAAACTAACCATCTCTTAACACAACACTACCTGATATAGGGGCCATCAGCCACATGTGAGCATATACACTTGTTTAAATTAATTAAAATTAAATTAATTTAAAAATCGAGCTCCTTGGTAACACTAGGCTCATTGTAAGCGCTCAACAGCCGTGACTGGCTAGCGGTTCCTGCGTCGGAGAGTGCAGACTGGATATTTCTATCATTGCAGAAAGTTCCTTTGGACAATTCTGATCTCCGAATCTGAGTCAAGAAATCCATGGTATCCAAATGGCTCAATGAACTCCCAAGGAAAATCTACCTGAGCGTGACTCTGAAGTGGTGTCTTCACAGCCCTTGTGGATCAGGCCTTCACTCAAGTCCTTCAGTGGCTTAAAAGGCCCTGTTTGATCTCTTCCCACCCCTCCTCCCCAGCTGTATCACCTCCTGCCCTCACTTGCTAAACTTTCCCCATTCAGGGACTTGCAGGGAGGCCAGGTACGGTGAACGTGCTCTGCTCCAATTGTGCCCTGGCCTGGCGCACTCTCCCCCAGATACCCAGCCATGCGGCTGAGACCCACACCTCCCTGTCTTTGTTTCAGTACCACCTCCTTGATGAGGCTATCCTATCACTGTCACTCTTTTTTAAAAATTTTCAACATGGAAATTCTAGAATGCATATATTTTAGTCTGTTTAGCCTGCTATAACAAAACCCCATAAACTGGGAAGCTAAAAAACAACAGGAATGTATTTCTTAAGTTCAGGTAGCTGGTTAGTCCAAGGTTAGGGCAGATTAGGTATCTGGTGAGGGCTCACCTTTTCACTGCATCCTCACGTGGTGGAAGGGATGAGGGGGCTCTCTGGGGTCTCTCAAGCACACTAATCCCATGCACAATGGCTCCCCCCTCATGACCTGATGTCCTCCCAAAAGACCCCACCTCCTAATACCTTCACCTTGGGGGTTAAGATTTCCATATGTGAACTTGAGGGGAAAACAAACTTTCAGAACACAGAAACATAAAAGTAGAAAGAACAGTACAAGGACCTTCCTCCCAAACCTGTCCTGATAGGAAGTTTCAAATAGTGTCATCTTTCTGCCATTCTTTCTTTCATGCATTGCTCCCACCATCCCCACTTTTTTGCTGAAACATTTTGAAGCAAATTCCAGATATCATATTAGGTTATATTATTTCCCTGGAAATTTTTTGCTGTTGTTTTTTGAGACAGGATCTGGCTCTATTACCCAGGCTAGAGTGCAGTGGCACGATCTTGGCTCACTGTAACTTCCCCAACCCGGGCTCAAGTGATCCTCCCACCTCAGCCTCCCATGTAGGTGGGATTACAGGGACATGCCACCACCATGCCAGGCTAACTTTTTATATTTTTAGCAGAGATGCGGGTTTTGCCACATTGCCCGGGCTGGTCTTGAACTCCCGGACTCAAGCAATCCACCCGTCTCGTCCTCCCAACATGCTGGGATTACAGGGGTGAGCCACTGCACCGACCACCATAAATATTCCCACTTAAAACAGATAAGGATTTCTTTTAAACCACCACCAAAACACAATTATCATGCCTAACTAAAGTAATAATCTCCTTATATCATCTAATACCCAGCACTTATTCAATTTTTTTTGATTACCTAAAAACATTTTTAAAAATAATTCTTACTATTCTGTCTAAAACGTCGATCCCAGCCTCACCCCAAATTTCTGATATTCTCCTGCTCTGCTTCTGCTTTTTATGCGTGACATTGATTAATTATAACATGCTCATAACTCATATGTTTATTATTAAACTCTACCAGATGGAAACTTTGAGACAGTTATTTTGTGTTTCTGTTTTCTTCTTCATTCACACATCCTAAGCATATAGAATAATGTCTGGCACACAGTAGTCACCTAATGTAGATGCTGAATTAATCTCTAAAACGAGTAGGCATTTCTGGGTATCTTCTGATCCATGGCCTAAGTATTCCTGGTATTTTGTTGTTGTTCCATTTATTTCTTATAACTACTTTAAAAATAGATAATATAGAGATCTATTTGAAAAGTATTAATCAATCCATGTAACTAACTGTAAATAATCAGAAAATATTTATTGACCAGCTGCTATATGCTTAGCATGATACAAGGTACTGCAGGGAGATTAAAAAAGAAGGAGAAAAAAAGACATGCCTCCTGTTTTTAAGGAGTTTACGGTTTTGCGGGGAGGAAAGACCAACAAATGTGCCAGAAAGCAAAAAGAATGAAACTGGCTAGGAACCTGTAAAAAAAAAATATATATATATATAGCAAAGATGAGGTTAATCTGATTTGGAGTTTCCATGCAAAAACAGAATCAAAGATGCAAACAAGATCTGAATGCATTCATAGAGGTGGGGGGGATCATCAAAAGATTTAAGGAAGGGTATGGTGTGAACACTGATACTATGAAGGGTCGTGGCTATCTGGGTACTCACTGCATGCAAACTGGCCCTGATTGTGGTTTACGGAGGTCAGGGAGGAATAATGCTTCTTGGAAGAGATGAAATTGAAGCTGGTGCTGGAAGGGTGGGTACCACGGGCAGATGAGTCTTTGTGGCACCTTCTGAAATAGTCTTCCTCCCTTTGAGGAATACCAGATGCTCATTTTCCCAGCCTCCCCTGTAGCTAAGAAGGAGAAAAAATGGGCTGCGGTTCTGCTAAGCTGTGGCTCTGCTCATTCTGGTTGGCAGAATTTGATGTGGAAGTCAGCAGCATGAAGAAGCAGGGCCTTTTTCTGGCCAAAGGGACCGCAGAGGAGGCATCTGGTTGGGAGCAGCAGGGGTGCTCCCGGAAGAGTCACACCACACAGCTCAGACACTGTTCTGGCTGTGAGCCTCCTCCTCCCACAAGTTCTGTGTGCTACCCAAAAGCTGTAATAAATGTCTTTTCTCATTAAACCAGCTAGATGGGCAGTGCTGCTTGCCCTGCTCGGGTTCTGTGCTATCCTGGCATGATTCTATCTAGCTGGGGACCATCTCTTTGAAACTGCACCTCATGGCTCTCCTTCCACCGTGCACCTTCCTTCTCAGTACCCACCATGGGCTCCAGTTCTGTCTGCCTGCCCAAGGTCGTGGACCCCGGGAGTGTGTGCTCACACCTCTTCTTGCTACACACTCTCATCCATGAATTTATTTCACCATCAGGAATTCAGCCATCGCCTCTAGCATATTCTTCAATTTTTATCAGCCAATTGCAGAGCCAAGGAGGAAGAAACGAGCGCTCAGGAATTCTTCCCCTACCACGATTCAGAGCTCCTCTGCTCTTGGCAAACATGAAGAGTGTGGCTCTGTGGGCACAAACTGGTCCATTTTAAGTAGTACAAAGAGCATCTGCTTTGTGGGTAGAAAACTAAACATCATCTTTCAGTCCAGCATTATCTTTTAGTCATTTCCTTTCTAACTGCCACAGATTTAGAACTAAATGCGACAAGGCTGTTTCCAATTGTTGGCTTGGGAGGAGGCTCCTCTAAGTAGCGAGTTAAGAGTGAACAAGAGGAAGGAATTAGGGTGCATAATTTACAGGCACATGGAAGAAGCTCCCTGTCGGTATTTGACAAAACTGCCGACAAACTTTGAGGGACCATCTGAAGGCATGCCTTGTTTTTTGTTTTTGTTTTGTTTTGTTTTTTGAGACAGAGTTTTGCTCTTGTTGCCCAGGCTGGAGTGCAGTGGCGCGATCTCGGCTCACTGCAACCTCCACCTCCAGGGTTCAAGCAATTCTCTTGCCTCAGCCTCCTAAGTAACTGGGATTACAGGCACCTGCCACCATGCCCAGCTAACTTATTTTTTATTTATTTTTATTTTTTTATTTTTAGTAGAGGCGGGGGTTTCACCATGTTGGCCAGACTGGTCTTGAACTCCTGACCTCAGGTGATCCACCTGCCTCGGCCTCCCAAAGTGCTAGGATTATAGGCGTGAGCCACCACGCCCGGCCAGCATGCCTTGTTTTTAATCCCCACTTTGTCAAATAATGCATACCTTTTGTTATTTTTCTATAAACGATAGGATGCATTTAGTTTATAACTTTGCCTCCAAATTCCAAAACATGTACTATTCCAAAACATAAAATCTTTTATGGTTTTTCTGGCACCAGAGCTGGGAGTACAGCTTCCACCTGCTTTCTGCACAGTCTGCCCTTCTCATTTCTCATATTTATTCTAACAAACTCTGGCCCTATCTTAAAAGGGAAAGTAAAGTTTGTGGGCTCCATTTTTTAAATTTGTTTCATTTGTTTGTTTCTGTGAAGTTTTTGGCTTCCTCTTAACCGCTTTTCATTCCCTTTTCTATTTCCTCAAATTGGCCTTTGTTCTGGGATTTTCATTTTTTCTTTCCTTTTGGTTTTTAGAGCTGTTGGTTTCCACAGCAACTCACCCTAGTAGTGGGGAACCCAGCATTTTATGGGCTGGCCACTGGGTCTGGGTAGAAGAAAGGCCCATTCCCACCAAGCAGGCCATGCAAATGCTCTCACCCCAAGTAGCCCAGCACTCCTGTGGCTGCCTGGGCCAGGGAGGCCAGCTGAAAAGGAGCCTCTCTCCTTAGCACCATGATTAGCTACATTTAACCCCAATTTAGGGGAGTTACGACGGCTTTTCATCTCTTAAATAGAACACCAGAAAACTGCTTGATCACTTAAAAACATTTTCCAAATAGGAGGTTATTGTAAAAATGTTACCTGACCTTTGCTCTACGAGGTTTTGCCCCATGTTACTTGGTGTTAGAATTTTACAATATCAGCATGTGCATTGAATTTCCATGTCTTTATAAAGCATGTTCCAGGATGCCTAATGCGTGAAGGGGTGGCTTTCTATTTATACTTCTTTTATAAACATAGAGGTTTTCCTGTGTAATCTGATGAAATTAGGATGCACTCTGTTACACTGGAGTTTTCATGTAATTTTTTCCAGACTCACATAGTGCACATGCACCTTGTATTATTCTATTTTATTTTCTACCCAAAATTTAGCCAATCATGTCATCCAAGGAAATTATATTTATATATTTTAAAGTATAATCTATATGTTATGTAACATATAACAGATTATTTAATATGTATCTCATAATATATCATATACTTTATTAATCTATATAGAATACATCTCAATAAGAATCTGTTACAACTTGTACATTTGAGGACTCCCTTATATGCAATTTCTAGCTGCACTAAAGCATTTGGCAATCCTTGTGTGTGTTTAATTCTGAAAACAACATTCAGTTTGATGTTCCTCCGCAAAGACCAAGACTACTGTCATCCAGAAGAGAAAGGACTGTGCAGGCATACTTCAGAGAGACGAATACGCTGGGCACTAGAACCCCCCCTAGCTTCCTGGGTCCCCTCTCCACGTAGGCACCTTTCACTCTTGATTGTACCAAGAGGTGCCCTGAACCTCACTATGGATCTGCGGCCCCAGTGTCTGATACAGAATCCCCACCTATGTGGGGTTCTTTTTTTGAAACATGTTCCTTAGATTTCAGTGGAAGTTTACAGTCTCTAGACATCCATTTGAATGACCTCATTGGAGACGCATGGAAGAGAAAAATCTGCTGGAACTTAGAGTACCACTGTGTGCCTTTCTGTGTTCTATCATCTCAGGCAACTGATGCTTATGTTAAACCTCGTGAAAAGGCAGCCATGTGGTAGACTCGACAGCTACAGCTTCAGTTTGAAATAGGATGAGAAGAGACCACAGTACAGTGCTATTTACACTGGTGGCTCCTACCGGCTGCTCATCCTCTGAAGGGCGTGTATTAGAGCTTTTTTTCTTTTTTTTTTTTGAGATGGAGTCTTGTTGTGTCACCCAGGCTGGAGTGCAGAGACACGACCTTGGCTCACTGCAACCTCTGCCTCCCAGGTTCAAGAAATTCTCCCTACCTCAGCCTCCCAAGTAGCTGGGATTACAGGAGCACACCACCACGCCTGGTTAATTTTGGTATTTTTAGTAGAGACGGGATTTTGCCATGTTGCCCAGGCTGGTCTCAAACTCCTGACCTCAAGTGGTCCACCCACCTCGGATTCCCAAAATGCTGGGATTACAGGCATGAACCACCGCACCTGGCTGCCATCACAGTCTTGATAGAACTTACACATAACGTACTCTTTCTCACCCCAATCCCTGCATCTCTCTATCCCTCTAATGCATAAACTTCTGTCTTGGCAGTGCTACCAGGATATCTCTGGGCAAACAATCAGTGGATTTCTGCTGCTTCCCATAAGAAATTTGTATGAGGATCAAATTGATGATCCTCCCATTAACAACACTTAACAACCAACAGCACCATGTTGCCAAGAATGGTGAAATATACAATAACAAATATTCATAGAAGTTCAGCAATTAAAGAGATCATGTTAGATACATATAGACATACTCTGATTTTCTACTTTATTTGAGTGATGGGACATCTTTCCCTCAATTTAAACACTCTGTAATGGAAATCGAAAATACGAACTATCTCCCACAGCTTTGTGGCTAAGAATCCTGTTACCCTAATAAGTTAAACAGCAGAAGTTCATTCTCTATTACTGGACCCGGTACAAAATGAGGTTTTCTAGGGCTGGTTCCATATGCATATAATGCTAGAAGAGCTACTATAAAATAGCTATGTTCTTGTAACTAATCAAGGGTTATTTAGGGAAATATACCAGGATAATTTGAAAACTGTTGCTGGACTTACCTGCTCCAACTGTACAACTTACACATACAACCAAGTGTTCAAAAGCAAAATTAATGTTCACAAGCAAAATTAACAGAATCTTCCTACAATCTCATCTAAAAAAGTTATCTCATGAGATATACATTTGACAGCAAAACTCCCAATCTTCTTTTTTTTTTTCTTTTTCTTTTTTGAGATGGAGTTTCACTCTTGTCACCCATGCTGGAGTTCAATGGCACAATCTTGGCCCTCTGCAACCTGCAACCTTCGCCTTCCAGGTTGAAGCGATTCTCCTGTCTCAGCCTCCCCAGTAGCTGGGCTTCCAAGTACCTGCCACCACACCCGGCTAATTTTGTATTTTTAGTAGGGACAGGGTTTCACTGTGTTGGCCAGGCTGGTTTCAAACTCCTGACCTCAGGTGATCCGCCTGCCTCGGCCTCCCAAAGTGCTGGGATTACAGGCGTGAGCCACCACACCCGGCCATGAATCAACCAGTCTTCTTGATGTAGTATCAGAAATACTTAGATGTAGCTTTAAAGGTCTATATGAAAATAGGATTACTGTACTTATCTCGGGAAACTTCTCCAAAATATTTAAACTAATTTAAAATAAAAGAATGTAACTGTTCGAAAGAAATAAGAATCGAAGCACCAAAACGATGCTACATATGGCTCCAAAAAACAAAAGCAAAAGCCATAGTTCCAACTTTTAAGAACTTTTCCATAAGAAGCAATGTATATCCATAAAGCTAATATCTTCACTTTTCTCAGATATGGTAAAGTATCTAGTGACTATACCACGGAAATGTAAATATGGAAAATGCATTTACTGAGCTTCATACAATACCCTGCTCCACTGAACAAGAAAATGATGGTGATGCAACACTGTGGTGACCAGAGGACCCACAAGGATTTCTAAAGAAATCCCCACAACAAGCCACCCCAACATGCTTCTGTTTCATTGGTATTTTATTTACTTATTTGTGTTGGGACAGAGTCTCACTCTGTTACCCAGGCTGGAGTGCAGTGGCATGATCTCGGCTCACTGCAACCTCTACCTCCCAGGTTCAAGTGATGCTCCTGCCTCAGACTCCTGGGTAGCTGGGATTACAGGCACGCACCACCACGCCCGGTGAATTTTTGTATTTTTAGTAGACAGGGTTTCGCCACGTTGGCCAGGCTGGTCTCAAACTCCCGACCTCAGGTGATCCGCCTGCTTCAGCCTTCCAAAGTGCTGGGATTACAGGTGTGAGCCACCGCGCCAGGCCAGTTTTGTTGATATTTTAAATTTTTCATGAAGGCACAAAGTCCCCTTATGAGAATCTGGAAGAATCTGGGAACTGCTTAGTTAATGAGCAGTATTAAGCATGTCTATGAAATTAATGTACACACCTTTGCCAGCTTCAAAGATCTGTTGGAAGGCACCAGTGGAACGGTTGCCAAGGCAACCTAAACTGGTGGGGGAAAGATTCTGTGTGTCTTGGGTGTTTCCAGGTCTGTCTTTATCTATAGATATGCATTTACAGTTTTTGTTTTTGTTTTTTTTGTTTTTTTGTCTAGGGCTTAGGGCTGGGACAAGAGCAAAATTACATACCTGTTTTGAAAAAGCAGCTTTAAGATGACGATGATGATGATGACTTTTAGCAAGTCATTACTCTCTCTGGGAAGAGACCAGTTAGAAAGTGCTACGTGGGAGCCAGTAGTGAAGAAACTGACTCATTAATTATTTTAGAATTAAAAAAAAATGGGCCGGGTGCGGTGGCTCATGCCTCTAATCCCAGCACTTTGGGAGGCGAGGTGGGCGGATCATGAGGTCAGGAGATTGAGACCATCCTGGCTAACACGATGAAACCCTGTCTCTCCTAAAAATACAGAAAATTAGACGGGCGTGGTGGTGGGTGCCTGTAGTCCCAGCTACTTGGGAGGCTGAGGCAGGAGAATGGTGTGAACCCGGGAGGCAGAGCTTGCAGTGAACCGAGCTAGCCTGGGCAACAGAGTGAGACTCCATCTCAAACAAACAAACAAACAAACAAACAAAAAAGGGCAAAAAGGCAAGCTGAAGGGGCTTGCTGGAAAACTATGGATGGCCTAAGTGTGTGAAGCTCTCTGACACTTGAAGTATTACAAAACAAGACAAAGGTCCCTGGAGCAGCTGAAGTTTAGTCAGTGCGGTGCTTAAATCATATACATATGGGCTTATCTTTTCCAAGAAAGATATTCAACAAGCTACAGTGAAGCTATTATTAAAGTTTTCTTTTCTGTTTCAGATGAAGCTGAAATATTTTAGGGCACTTTAGCATTTACATTACAAATATTCCTCCTGAGGAGTGGGCACAGAATGCACATTTCACGACCACATGGTCTGGGGCTGGTTTCTAGGCTCCTCACTTAACCAGTCACGTGGTCTTGGCCAAGTTCACAGCCTCCTTGACCTGTCATTTCTGTGTCCAGAAAATATGGATACCAACTTCTTGAAAACACTGTAAGATTGGTGGGTGGACTGCCTGGTGACTTTGTGAGGTGCCTGCTAGCAACAAAAGTATTCCTGATCTTTCCCCACCTGCAAGCATTCCACTAACTTTATTTGGTGAAACAAAATCTCCAAAGCACCCTTTCCCCCTAAAAGCTTCTCAGTTAAGAACCCCCTCCCACCCCCCAAAAAAAATAAACAAAAAAAAAACTAGAAAAAGATAGTATGCTATTCAGAGTGCCGGGCTTTGGACTGACAACCTAGAGTTGATGGTCATCTTTGCCCTTTCTGGCTTACTGCTCTGAAGCAGAGTTTTCTCATCTGTAAGAAATGGGGTAGTGGCCCTGCCCATAATAATCTCATGGAGCTCTAGTGAGATCTCAAGGGTACAGTGCTTCCCACACACTGCAGCTGTGCACAGTGAGAGCTTAATCACTGCTAGCCATTTTTATAATTAGCCGATTGTTTCCCAACATTTGACTCTTGAATGAGGATCACGAAGCGTCTACAGAAAGTTTACAAAAGACCTCCTGAGAAAGTTCACGGAAGGAGCTGACCATGCCTGGCTATGGTTCTTGGAAGATTCCTTTTTTCTCTCTCTCATACCCACTGTGGAAAATTCCCAAGGACATGGAGAGCTGGAGGAACAGCAGAAGCCATTGGCAAGACAATTCTCCATGGGTCTCTTAAGTACTTCTGCACATATTGTGGGCAAGATACTGACTGTGCTGTCTGTTCTGAGCTATCTCTTTAAGGATGTTTCTGTTTTTGAGAGACAGTCTGGCTCTATCGCCCAGGCTGGAGGGCAGTGGCGCGATCTCGGCTCACTACAACCTCTGTCTTCTGGGTTCAAGCAATTTTCGAGCCTCAGCCTCTCGAGTAGCTGGGATTACAGGCACACGCCAACATGCCCACACGCCCAGCTATATATATATATATATATTTTTTTTTTTTGTATTTTTAGTAGAGACAGAGTTTCACCACGTTGGCCAGCCTGGTCTTGAACTCCTGACCTCAGGTAATCCACCCGCCTTGGCCTCCCAAAGTGCTGGGATTACAGGCATGAGCCACCTTGCCGGGCCCTCTTCAAGGATGTTTCTTTAGTGAATAGCTATGCAAGACAGAGAAGTGTCTCCCTCTAGAGCAAAGAGCAGGCATGCTTGGTGCCTCTCGGAAAAGATAAGGGTCCCTGAAGCTCAGGGTTTCTCTCCTATAAAGTAAGCTGTTGCATGTGCAGGTATCCTCTGGCCCTCTTTGCATTGCCCTGTGGGAAATGGGGTTCAGGGAACTGGAGCAAGAATGCAGACACTCTGGCTACTACTGCTGCTCTGAGTAATAAACATCCCTTATCTCTGACCGGGAAGTATCGTGTCTCCACCAACTTCTATCAAACCATGCCAGGCTGGCTCATTAGCTTCCAAGCTCAACAGAATCTTAGACCTTTTTCATAGTTCTTAGGTCACTAAAGAACCCAAGGAACTATATGCATTATGAAGACATTTAGGCAGGAAAGGAGTGGACTACGGTCCTAGAGAAGAAATAGGGGAGTCAGAGATAAAGAAGACATAAGACAGTCCCAATTTTTGGGTAATGTCTTTTGGTTTAATGAAGTGGGTTTTCAAATTCTTAAATCACCCTTTGCTGGGGATGGCCAAGATTGCCCTTTTCCCTTAGTAAATTCTAACTATTCCTGCTCTTTACACCACACTTAGACCCCCACCTGCCAGCCACTCTGCTCCATTAGTTTAACATGTTGTTCTTGGCCAGGTGCGGTGGCTCATGCCTGTAATCCCTGCACTTTGGGAGGCCAACGTGGGTGGATCACCTGAGGTCAGGGGTTTGAGACCAGCCTGGTCAACATGGTGAAACCCGTCTCTACTAAAAATACAAAACAATTAGCTGGGTGTGGTGGCAGGCGCCTGTAATCCCATCTACTTGGGATGCTGAGGCAGCAGAATTGCTTGAACACAGGAGGCGGAGGTCGCAGTGCGCCGAAATTGCGCCACTGCACTGCAGCCTGGGCAACAAGAGCGAAACTCCATCTCAAAAAAAACAAAACAAAACAAAACAAAAAAACCCAAAACCAAAAAAAAAAAAAAAAAACCAAAAGAAACCCCATGTCATTCTAGACTGTGCCACATGGGTCCAGCCTTTCAAGAAGCAGAATCTGAAGGTTTTCCTCTCCAAGCATTAGTGAGTGTTTTGTTTGTTTTTATAGCACTGATCATCTTAGTTCCCTTTTAAACCTGAAGGGTTGCAAAGCCACATTTAGGTCATCACAAGCAGTAACCCAAGGAGCAGAATTAAAGTGATATGCTAATTAGGTTGCCAGTTGCCACTCATTTAACATTCAAAAATGTGCATGTGTTTAGTGAAATACTATTTCTGCTTTCTACATTTGACTGAATAAATTCTGTATTAATGGAACAGCATGGTAAACTATGCTGACGCCTACAAGTCATGAAACCTTAAAATGTCTTGATTAAGGCCGGGCGCGGTGGCTCACACCTATAATCCCAGCACTTTGGGAGGCCGAGGTAGGCGGATTACCTGAGGTCAGGAGTTTGAGACAAGCCTGGCCAATATGGTGAAACCCCGTCTCTACTAAAAATACAAAAATTAGCCAGGCTTGGTGGCGGGTACCTGTAATCCCAGCTACTTCGGAGGCTGAGGCAAGAGAATCGATTGAATCCAGGAGGCGGAGGTTGCAGTGAGCCAAGATCGTGCCACTGCACTCCAGCCTGGGCGACAAAAGCAAAGCTCCATCTCAAAAAAAAAGTCCTGATTTACCTCAATATTTATGAAATTTATGAAATATTTTTATAATTTATAGTTTTTATAATTATTTTTAAAATTTATAGGAGTTTTCTAAGAACTTTAAAATCACACACGATTGAAATTTCCTGCTTCATCTATGGGGGAATAAATAACTACTTTGAACAGCGCAGCACCGTTCCTGGTGATTTTTTTCCGTAGTGAACATCAGCATACGGTATTTTCCACACAGTTTAAGTTTCTAGAATGGTTCTTAGTTCGTGTCAAATGGAGGAAACTTTCATCTTTTAATCTTTATAGCTCATGTCCTGGCAGCAATGTCAATACAGGGGGCTTGACTTCCCTCTCTCGCCTGGAGAAATAAGAGTTCCAGCCACCCCTTCACTGCCATCTCAATTCATAATGCTACAACAGACAATGGGAAGTTGTTTTTTCAAGTAGCAGAACAGAGGCTCCGCCATTATTTTGTCTTACATTTACAAGTTGATGCTATTTTAAATTATCCTTCACATTGGTGTTCCTAAATGTCACCTGCCCAATGGGTCACAGACGTATATACTGTACCAAATAATCACTTGGCTCAGACCAAGAACTGAAGTTAGGAGAGTTGCAGGATCAGTGACGACGTGCCCAAGAACACCCATCAGTTAAAGGAGTTAGGAATACAAGCGTGGGCAGAAAAGTTCACGTATGAAAGAGATTAAGTCAAGTCCTAGGATGGCCCATTGCTGACCTGCCCTCCTTGTGCGGGAGCCACATGGAGAAAGTGTCGTTTGTGCCACAGGCATGCAGGGACAGGACGATTTCCCGGGGCTGATGGTGCATCTTCCCAATGGAACAAACCCAAAGAGACTGGCAATGGAGAAAAAGTTGCAGAAAGTGTCAGAAGCTTCCTCCCCAAAGGATGAAACAATGGGCTTTTGGATGTGCTATAATCCTCAACCCTTCATTCTGCAGATGAGGAACTTGAGGTTTTCATTCAAGGTTATGTAGCTACTCATAACTGAGAAGGGACCGTCATGGTGAGTAGGTATATTAATTGTGTCTTTGTGTTCTCTAATTTTGATGCTTTGACATCTTGGAGCTTTGCTGGGCATGTAGGGACTGCCCCTCCCAGCAATTACTCCTGGAGATCATAAACTACTGCTCGGTGAGCATGACTTTCACCTGCAGCCTGTCAATCCAGAGCCCACTCCCCAGCCACATCCCCTAGGGGCTCTTATATTCCAGGCCACCCTTCCCTGCCCTGATGACGCCAGGGCCAGGTACCAGTCAACTGGGGTGAGCTCCTCTGCCCCAGAACCCATCAAAATTAGTCAAATTAGCCAACCCTAAACCTGCTGCGGCCGCATACCCTGCCTTGTCCATTCCTTCCTGAAAAAACCTCAATAAAGGGTCCTGCCCACATTTTCTCCTGCTCCCTCAGCCTCCTGGCTGGCCCTGGTGTTTCTCTGTGTGGCCCTGCCTGTTATGGTGTAGCCCTCCTCTTGGGAACTGTGAGCAACTCTTCTTTTCTTTTAACTTCCCTCCCTCTCTCCCTCTCTCTCTGTCTTTTTCTCTCTTCAGAGTCTCGCTCTGTTGCCCAGGCTAGAGTGCACTGGCGCAATCTTGGCTCACTGCAACCTCTGCCTTCCAGGTTCAAGCAATTCTCCTGCCTCAGCCTCCCAAGTAGCTGGGATTCCAGGCATGCGCCACCACGTCTGGCTAATTTTTGTATTTAACAGAGATGGAGTTTCCCATGTTGGTCATGCTGGTCTCAAACTCCTGACCT
Organism: Homo sapiens; assembly: GCF_000001405.40. Taxonomy (NCBI): domain Eukaryota; kingdom Metazoa; phylum Chordata; class Mammalia; order Primates; family Hominidae; genus Homo; species Homo sapiens. The sequence continues at coordinate 15,304,967 of NC_000010.11, forward strand.
CAAGTGATACGCCTGCCTCAGCCTCCTTCCAAAGTGCTGGGATTACAGGCATGAGCCACAGCACCCGGCCAAGTAACTATCTTCCCTGTAGCTGCCCATCCTCTACTGGTCTGTTGGCCTCACCACACCTGAATAATAATAAAACTTATAATTTAAAATAGTAGATGACTCAAGGTTTTCCCGGTGAAGATACGCCATGAACAAGGTACTGGTGCAGAACTAGTTTTATTTATACTTGCTGCAAGGAAGATCTTTGTAACAGTTTAGGCTGCATGAATAAACAGTAAATTCTAGATCACAGAAAATATTAATCTGGAGAGAGGAAATGTCTGGTTAGGTAAGCACAATAAAAGACTCAGTATCAGACCTGATGAACCTCTCACGTCACCTTCCCGACTCTATAATGTCTATAAAAGAACTGAATGGAGGGCTGGGTGCCATGGCTCATGCCTATAATCCCAGTAACTCAGGAGGCTGAGGTGGGAGGATTGCTTGAGGCCAGGAGTTCAAGACCAGCCTGGGTGAGACCCATCTTTACATAAAATTAAAAGCTTAGCCTGGTGTGGTGTGCATGCCTGTAGTCCCAGTTACTCAGGGGGCTTAGGTGGGAAAATGGCTTGAGGTCAGGAGTTTGAGGCTGCAGTGAGAAGTGATCATACCACTGTACTCCAGCCTGGGTGACAGAGTGAGATCTGGCTAAAAAAAAAAAAAAAAAAAAAAAAGATCAGAAGAGTGAATGAAAAATTTCAGACTTTGGACAGCAAAAAATCACTGAAGATTTTTGAGCAGGGAAGTGGTTAATTGTACATCCAATATGCAAATTGGACTGCCACAGAAGGACACTGTGGGGTGAACCCATGGTGAAAGTCCAGCCCTAAAATCGGAGAAAGGCTTGCTGGTGCCTATGTGCCTGTGCACGAACACGGGGACAGACATAGGAGGAAGACTAACGCCAAACTTCAGATCCTCTCTCAACACAGGCGAGGAGGGTGGCCTGGACAGAGCTCTTAGTGGAACTGCTCTCAAAATATCATCAGAACGGGGTCTGACAGCATGGACAAGATCATGCAAAGGAATCGCACAAATAGAGCATGATCCATGGATAACATGATAAATGTATCACGGGCATGGGTCTCGTGTGCAACTCGACCGTATGTTTCTTGCTGGGGCAAGCCCCTATCTTCACATTCAGATGTGCATTTACCTGAATAATGTGATTGAGAAGATTTTAAGTTACAGATTTCAATTCAGGTGTTTCACTGAGGCTATGACAGGTAAACTGTTTGGGGTTCTTCTTTGAAAAAGTCAAATTAAAATATTTAAATTGTGCAGAGGAAAAAATGCTTACATCATTGTCATCAATATCAATGTAATTTATTTAACCCTTTTAGGATTAGCCATTCTTTTTTTTTTTTTGAGAGACAGTCTTGCTCTGTCACCCAGGCTGTAGTGCAGTGGCACAATCTTGACTCACTGCCACCTCTGCCTCCTGGGTTCAAGCGATTCTCCTGACTCAGTCTCTCGAGTAGCTGGGACTACAGGCATGCCCCACCATGCCTGGCTAATTTTGTGTATTTTTAGTATAGACGGGGTTTCACCATGTTGGCCAGGCTGGTCTCAAACTGCTGACCTCAGGTGATCCACCCGCCTCAGCCTCCCAAAGTGCTGGGATTATAGGCGTGAGCCACTGAGCCTGGCATAGCCATTCTTTTTCAATGGACTGTCACGACCATCAGATTTAAGGTGAAGAATCTCAAGGATGACCACCCAAAAATATAAATGAGGGCAGTGACTGAAAGCCACATCTTAAGTACAACTATCTGCAGCCAGAGAAGCAGCAGTTCCATCCAGAATCCTTTTCTTCTACTCAATTAGGTCCTATCCACCTTCTCACCGGAACTAAGTCCAGCTGACATCCATCATGACTAACACTCCTGCCAGACCAAGCCTCCTAGAGCACGGCTTTCCATCACGCCATGTGCCCTTCAAAAACACTCAGTGATTCTGAAGACACGGAACCCTCTCCAGGGCTTTCGGTCACTGCAGTTCACAGGTGCGGATATCCACTTACATCCAGGGTACTGTGGAAAGGCTCTCTGTTGGGTGACCTTATTTCCTGCTTCTATGTGCTGACCCAGGAGCATGAGGATGACACCATCAGCCCACCCGCAAGAGGGCACATACCTTGATTTGTTTTTCAGAAAGTTGGAATCTGCACAAACCCTGCAAATTCCCATTTGCTTGCAGGGTGCAAATGCATGTCATATACACAGGCCATATGGGGGCTGAACCTGCAACCCTGACACGACACAGACGTGATTCTAACAGGCTGAGCTAACAGGCCATACACAGGATCAAATAGTGAAGATTCCATCTTAAAGTAGAAAGCGACTTGAGGCCGGGTGCAGTGGCTCACACCTGTAATCACTGCATTTTGGAAGGTTGAGGCGGGTGGATCACCTGAGGTCAGGAGTTCGAGACCAGCCTGGCCAACATGGTGAAACATCGTCTCTACTAAAAACACAGCAAATTAGCCAGGCATGGTGGCAGGCTTCTGTAATCCCAACTACTCAGGAGGCTGAGGCAGGAGAATCGCTTGTATTCGGGAGGCAGAGGTTGCAGTGAGCCGAGATTGCACCACTGCACTCCAGCCTGGGCAACAAGAGTGAAACTCCATTTCAAAAAAAAAAAAAAAAAAAAAAAATGCGACTTGAAGAAGATCTCAAAACAGTTCTACCACCACAAAACCATGGGTATATTCTTCCAATACTGTGATGTTTCCTTCCTAATCAACCAACCAATAAGTCTTATTTAGGAGCACAGAGGCAATGTGGGGGAATTAATGCCTTTTTTTTTTTTTGAGACAGCATTTTGTTCTGTTGCCCAGGCTGCAGTGCAGTGGCTACAGCTCACTGCAGCCTCGAATCCTTGGGCTCAAGCGATCCTCCTACCTCAGCCTCCCAGGTAACTGGGACCAAAGGCACATGCCACCATACTGGGCTCATTTTTTATTTTTTAATTTTTTTGTAGAGATGAGGTCTAGCTATGTTGCCCATGCTGGTCTTAACCTCCTGGCCTCAAGTAATCCACCTCGGCCTCTCAAAGTGTTGGGATTACAGGCATGAGCTACCAGGCCCAGAAAAATTTTACTTTCATTAGGAAGTGTTAAACAATGTTGTCACTCTCATGCTGTCCACACTAACATTTGTCTTTCAAAATCAGTGGTTGTCAGGCACACAATCTAACTGCAACACATTATACTCTACTTGCAAGTATACAATCAGAGTACATAGGATTTACTTAGGAAGGGCATATACTCTCATGTCAGAAAGCAAAGCAAAATTGCTACCTCATTGTGAAAATTAATAAATGCTAGGGGGAGGTTATAAAAGGAAATCTTGTAAATAGACAAACATCTGCTAACACTGAGTTTTCAAAAGCAGAAAGTTTTTAAAGATACCGAACAGCTCGGACATCTTATCTTGACAAACTCTATTTTATTTCTATTATTTTTTGAGATGGAGTCTTGCTCCATTGCCCAGGCTGGAGTGCAGTGGCACGATTTTGGCTTACTGAAACCTCCGCCTACCGGGTTCAAACAATTCTCCTGCCTCAGCCTCCCGAGTGCAGATTGCGCCATTGCACTCCAGCCTGGGCAACAAGGGCAAAACTCTGTCTCAAAAAACAAACAAACAAACAAACAAACAAACCCCAAAAAACAGGTTTTCCACTCCAAGCATTAGTGGGTATTTTGTTTGTTTTTACAGCACTGACCATTTTAGTTCCTTTTTAAACCTGAAGGGTTGCAAAGCCACATTAAGGTCATCACAAGCAGTAATCAAGGAGCAGACATCACACCCAACTAATTTTTGCATTTTTAGTAGAGATGGGGTTTCACCATGTTGGCCAGGCTGGTCTCGAACTCCTGACCTCAAGTGATCCACCCGCCTCAGCCTCCCAGTATGCTGGGATTACAGACGTGAGCCACTGCAGCCGGCTGACAAAGCCTATTTTAATCAGTATTTCCATAAATTGTTATTTTTACAACTTAAAAAAACCAAATAAAATCTTAGCATGAACAACTATTCCTTATTGCAAACCTGGTCCTACTTTGTATTTTGAATATTCAGCTTTCTTGCTCATTTCTTACTATGTAATCTGTAAGCAATAAATTAATGGATGTACATAACATAAACATGAACTTAAATGTAATACAAATTAGGAACAAGCAGAAACCAAATTTAACTTACTACTATTTTTGAGACAGGGCCTTGTTCTGTTGCCCAGGCTGGAGTGCAGGGGCACGATCATGGCTCACGCAGCCTCGGCCTCCCAGGCTCAAGCGATTCTCCCACCTCAGCCTCCCGAGTAGCTGGGACTATAGGCACACACCACCATGTCTGGTTGTTATTTTTATTTTTCGTAGAGATGGGGTCTCACTATGTTGCCCAGGCTGGTCTTGAACTCCTGGTCTCACGCAATCCTCCCGCCTTGGCGTCCCAGTGTTGGGATTACAAGCGTAAGCCACTGTGCCTGGGCAAGTTTATCTTATTTTTCTAATGCACATATTTACTGAAATAACCAATGAGCTGAACACTGGCTCACAACTCATGATTTAAAAGCTATGTAAAGCAAACCACAGCATTCAAAGTCTTGGCCGACAATTGCCCATATTTAAAATGAAATACTCAATAGCATGTGAACTTGAATCTACAAACAAAACAAAGTATTTGGAGGGGAAGAAGCTAATCCCACCTAACTTCTAAAGACTTTCCTCAGGACTTGCAGGAAATCTGCATTTTCTATGCCTTCTTTTCTCCAATGTGAAAAACAAATGAATTAAAATTGCAGGTAATATTTACCTGTGCTGCTAATATTTAAACACAGCAAACTTTCAGTGATCATTAAATTATTTTTGCTTAGTGACTGGGTAAATGTTCAGTTAGGAGGAAAGAACACAAAAGATATGTTTAATTTCTAACCTCTAATCTCTAACGTTTGTAGTCTCTGGTATTTTTGTTGAGCAACAAATACAAGTTGTCTTTGGGTGTAGGACGCACTAGCCTAAAACTAAAAAAGTTGGGCTTAAGAATCCGATGATACTTGATAGTCAAATTTTCTTTCTGGCCTTCAAAAACCAAATATATAAAAGAATGGCCAGTTTCCAGTTTCTGTTGCAATGCCTGTGTGGGGGCAGGTGCAGACTGGGGGAAAGTGTTTGGTGAGCAGGAATTTGGTGGGTAAGAGGAACGAAAAATTTTTTAAAATCCCTAAACAGCATCTTTTTTATGTATGGGATAATCTAGTTTCCAATAAATCATCACACGGTTTCTCTTATTTGATCTTAATGTTGTGACACAGGTTAGAGCAGGTAATACCCTTGGGTTGTTGTAAAGGAAAGGGTGACCTAAGAAGGTTAAACATGTCCTACAAATGGCAGAGCTGAGATGCAAACTGGTCTGGTCTTGTGACCCACTGCCTTGAATGCAGAGTACCGTGACCAACCTGGCCCCTCTCCCACAGCCTAACCTGTTCTGCAACCCAATACCAAATGTTCTCTCCAACTGACCCGTCTTTAAAACGAAAACTCCTTCTAGTATAAAGACCCATTGGGGCTGGGCATGGTGGCTCACACTTGTAATCTCAGCACTTTGCGAGGCCAAGGCAGGAGGATCACTTGAGGTCTGGAGTTCGAGACCAGCCTGGCCAACATGGTGAAACCCCGTCTACTACAAATACAAAAAAATTAGCCAGGCGTGGTGGCGCGTGCCTGTAGTCCCAGCTACTCAGGGGTTGAGGCAGGAGAACCGTTTGAACCAGGAAGGCAGAAGTCGCAGTGCATGACAGAGCGAGACTCTGTCTTAAAAAAAAAAAAGACCCATTGGGTTTAAGCCTGAAGCCTCCAGAGGGTCTCCTTCCCTTTCCATCTCTCTGTACCTGGAAGGCAGCTCTGTGGCAGGATGGACCCCAAGCACGTGGGTCTTGGAGCAGGGCTGGGAAGACAGAGCCCTCCAGGAGGGGCTGAGTCCAGGCCAGCATGAGATACAGGGGACCTAGGGCTGCTGGAAGGATGGGCTGCTGGGGCGTATCTCTGTTCCAAGCCTTATCCCTGCTCTTCATGCAGTTACAGCCTGATAGGCCCACCCACAGGCTACTGCCCCCTGTTCCTCAAACAATACACATTTACAGTTGTTGCCTTTAAAAAGAAAAAACAGGCCACTTATTTTACACTCAGGGTCTAAGCATTTCTGTTTGCAGAGACTGGGCAGGCTTCTGTATCTTTACAAGCACATGCTTTCTGCAGCATGGGTATATTCTCAATGTATTTGTTGCAGGATTGTCTATTTTTGCATTTGACATTTCAATGACTTAGAGGGGGAGGAAGAAGATTGGAGAAAAAAATTAAGCCTATATTCCCTTTTAGTTATTTTTGACCCACTTGCTGCAAAAATAGGGAATGGCACTGGAAGGCTCCACTCTGTAGGAAGTAACCTTCGCCTTCCCTGGGTAAATGCTTTTGTTTCCTCCTTCAAACAGATTGCATTGCTCTCCTGGCATTAAAAATGAGAAATAAATTTAGCTTCATCTCCATATATCCTGGGATTCCCCTTAAATAAGCTCTAAAGCATTCTTCTGGGTGGCTTAGTATGAAATGCAGTCCCTGGTTTCTTCCCGCCCCACAGCCCCCTAGTAAGCCGCCCCACCCCACCTGGGAGGCATAGAGTAGGAGGTGATTGCTCTCAAGATAAAGAAGGCGGCATCACGTTTTCCCCCTGGAAGAACAGAAGCACCTGAGGTCCAGGAGAGTAAAGGAGAATTCTCCTCTGCCTAGCCTTTTCTGTGCATGTGACAGGGTATTTTCTCTCATTCACAGTCAATATGGCTTTGATAACAGCTCCAAGAAAAATGATGCCTAGACAGTGCTAGTCCAAGGTGCCAGTGAAACTGAAGGCCTCATCCTACATGTGAATGTTCCTCACGTACATTACGTGATTATTTACTGTTACAGTGAGGTATGTGAGATCAGCCCCATTTTTAAAGACAAGGAAGCTGACTCGGAGAAGGTGAGTGACCTGCCCAGGGCACACAGCTGCCACCCAGCAGAGCTGAGATTCAAGCGTGCATCTTCTAAATCTCGTGCACTTCCTATTATACCAAAGCTGCCTCCCATTCAAGTTCCAGGCATGGCCTTTTGAATCGGACCAGATCGGGTCATCGAAAGAGAGGATCAAAAGCCCCCTGCTTATAAAAGTGAGCTTGAAAGAAGAATAGGAAAGAAAATATGCTTCATAAACAAAGCAGCAAGGTTAGAAATGGAGAGACGCTCACTCCAACTGTCACTCTAAGTCTAAAGCCCTGTTGCTTACTCGCTGCTGAACTCCAAAAGGAGTCTGCTGCTATGGTGGGGAGCTTTCGAATATTTTTAAAGCCTCTGAACCCTTTAAAGATAAAATGCTATGCTGACACTAAGTAAAATTAGAGCTTGCTCTGGTTAAAGCCAGTGGGGCAACACTGGGGGTATGCACGAGTCTCGGGGGGCTCCACCTTCTCAGGGACCCTCTCCTGTCCCTCCATACCCCCAGGGCTGTGCAGCTCAGATTGTGGCTCACAGAGGTGCCCGGCTGCAAACTGAACTGTTTGTTACTCTTTTTAAAAATCTGTCACCGGAATGTAAATCAACTACTGGAATGAGTTCAGCACTGTGTGTTTTTTTTTTTTTTTTTTTTTTTTTTTTTTTTTTTTTTTTTGAGACGATATTTTGCTCTTGTTGCCCAGGCTGGAGTGCAGTGGTGCAATCTCGGCTCACTGCAAACTCCGCCTCCGAGGTCTAAGCGATTCTCCTGCCTCAGCCTCCTGAGTAGCTGGGATTACAGGCCCACCACCACGCCCGGTTAATTTTTGTATTTTTAGTAGAGATGGGTTTCACAATGTTGGCCTGGCTGGTCTCGAACTCCTGACCTCAGGTGATCCACCCTCCTCGGCCTCCCAAAGTGCTGGGATTACAGGGGTGAGCCACCGTGCCCGGCCTTGCACTTTTTTATTCTCTACTTTTGAGCGAGATGT